>NC_000023.11:80644360-80947390 GCF_000001405.40 Homo sapiens
ATCACTGAGCTCTCCTTCCCCCAAGTGCATAGATTCTCTCTCTATGCCATGCAGCCCCTGCTGGGGGTACGGGGGTGGGCTGGGGTCAACAATTAAAGACTTTATTTCCTACTCTCTTCAGGCCCTCTTTCAGTAATATGAAGTTAAAACCAGGTACTGTGAACACTCATCTGATTTTTGGCTCTTATGAAGGTGCATTTTTGTGTGGATAGTTGTTCAAGTTGGTGTTCCTGTGGGATGGGACATTATCTGGAGGCTTCCATTCTGCCATCTCGCTCTACCTCCTCCCTTTCACACTTGTTCTTAAAAGATAATTTGTTGACTACATAATTCTACGTTGAAATTTATATTCTTTCAGCACCTTGAATACATAATTTATCTTCTGTCTTTCATTTTTGCTTTAAGATGTTGGCTGTTAGTTTAATTGCTTTCCATTGTACATCATCTATTTTTCCCTCTAGCTTCTTTTAAAAGTTTCTCTGTGTTTGGGGTATGTCACCAAATGTCTGGACAAGAATTTGTTTTTATTTATCCTGCTTTGTATATTTTTTGCTTCCAATATCTGTGGATACATGTCTTTTATGAGGTTTGGAAAATTCTTAGTCATTATATTTTCAAATATTACATTTTTTTCCATTCTCCTTATTGTTTTATGTGACATATATTAAAATTTCTCATCCTCTGCCTCATAAACTTCTCCTTCATAGTTTCCATTTTTCCTTCTCTGTTGCATTATGTATAGTTTCCTCAGATGTATCTTCCAGTTTGCTAATATTTTCTTAACACTGTCTAATATGCTGTTTAGCACATATGTTGATTTTTTAATGACTGTTTTCAGTGTTTTAAGTTTCATTTGGATATATATATGTATATGTTATATATATATGTATGTTATATATATATATGTTTTGTTGGCTACTTATTTTTAGATGTTGGCGTGCATTTCAAAAAATAGTTTGTCTTAGTCTGTTTTGTGTTGCTATAAATGAATAAGTGAAAGTTGGTAGTTTACAAAGAAAATAGGATTATTTTAACTCATATTCCTATAGGCTGGAAAATGAAGGACATGGCTCTGGCTTCTGGCAATGACATTCATGCCATGTTACAACATGGTGGAGAAGATCAAAGGAAAACCAGAACCATCCAATAAGGGAAAAACCTGAGGGACATCTTGAGTTTATAACAACCGACTCTTGAAAGAACTAATTCATTCCCATGAGAGCCAATATAGTCTTGCAAGAGTTAAAACACACTCACTACTCAAGAACAGCATGAAGCCATTCATGAGGGACCTGCTCCCATGACTCAAACACTTCTCTCTAGGTTCTACCTCTCAGCACTGTACCTTTGGGAATCAAATTTCAATGTGAGTTTTCATGGGGACAAACAAACCATATCCAAACTATAGCGCAGTTCATGCACAGTTGTTTTATAATCTGTAGGTGATTATTCAAATAACTAAAGGAAGTCTGTTGGAATGTAAGCCTATTGTTTGTTTTTTATTTGTTTGCATTCACTCATAATGGTTTTGTCCTTGTGTGTTTGGTAATATTTTATAGTGAGATCATAGTTAATTAATATTTATCTGTGAGACTGCAAGGGATTTAGATTCAAGATGTTTTCCTCCAGAGAAGATCTGCTTTTGCTTCTGCGTTGCCAGGGTACATTACAAACCTGAGATCACTGTAGCTCTTTTGCAGGGGTGGATCTTGGCCTAGTGCCCACAGGCTCAAATTCAGCTCCCTTGATTTCTGCCAGTTCAATATTTGTGTCCTTATCCATGTCAGCGCTAATAATAATATTTATCCTCATATCTAAGCCATCTTTCTGCTTACTTGTTGCTAGCTGCACTGTTTCAGATTACCCACTTTTTGGCTAGCAGAGAATGTGCCTAGAAACTTTCTGTTACTTTTTGAGCCCAGCAATACATTAAACATCTGTTTTATTGAGAATGTATTTGATGCATTGTGAGAAAGTTCCTCAACATATCTAGTCCACTATACAACCAGACATTCTCTTCCCACTCTTGCTTCAATGAACTGGCATCTGGATTTTTTTCTCTCACCTTTTATCAGAAACTGTCATTAAAAGATCACCTAAGAGCTTCACAGTACTAAATCTAATAGAAGTTTCTGTCCTTGTCAGCACTTGACCTATCTGCCCTTGACTATCTCAGTTTCCTTTGTAAATTGTAATATCATCCATCCCTTAAATGTTTCTGTTCTTTGGGATTTTAATCTTAACCCTTTCCTTTTAAACCCACACACTTTCTATGATCAATCTGATTTATTCTTCTTGCTCTGGCTACCATCTATATATTGATAACTCCCAACACTGTCTTCATCCCAAACAAACCGGTCTATTCAACTGCCTGCAGTACTTGAATGTTCCATAGTTCCTTTATATTCAACATGTTCAAAACTAAATTTATCATCTTGCTGTCATACTCCCAACTCCTTCTTTCTCCTGTGTTCTCTATTCATACTGCACAAGCCAGAAAACAGTCCATTATTCATAATGTTTTCTTCTCTTAAGGTTTTCACATTCAATAAACCACCAAGTCTGACTATTCTACATCTCTGGAGCCATCTACTTTTCTCCAGCTTCAGTGCCATTGCCCTGGTAAAGATAAGTCACTTTCATCTCTTGCTTGGAGTATAGTGACAGCCTCTTAACTGGTTTCTCTGCCTGTCCTCTTGAACCCTCTCCTTCCCACCACCCAATACTGTCTCCATACTATAGTGAATAAGTTTTCTAAAATATAATCCTGTTACTATTTTGCTTAAAAGAACAACTAGTGATTGATTACAGGATAAAATTCAAATTCTTTTCCCAAGATCCTTTGAGATCTGGCCTCTGTCTATCATCCAGCTTCACGTCTCTGTCATACTACATTCCCCTTCCATGGCTGTCACAATACTTGAAGGAATATTGAGTTACTTCCAGTTTCCCAAATATGTTTTCTCAAACAGAAGTGCCTCTGTTCTTACTCCTCCCTCTCTCTCTAATCCCCTTACTTGTTGTCTTTAATAGTTGTGTGAGGTGTTCTCTTAATATCCTGAATTTACCTTTAGTTTGTGTTTGTCTTATTGCACTGTAAATACCTTCTGTCTTCTTCATTAGACTGTGTCTTAAGGATGGTCTATGCCTCATTTATCACAACACCTAAACATACAAGGCATTCAACAAATGTTTGCAACAAGAAAATGGAAGAAAACTAGCCTGCTAGCTTAGCTTTATTTGTAACATACTGTTGCAAACTGTACTGAGAAAGAGCAAAATGAATGTGCAAGTGCTTTAAGCCCTCTGGCCAACTATCAATTCCACATCTAACCTTAATGCATGTATGAGTGTAGTATATGCTAATCTCAGCCCATTGCTGCTCTTCAATTAGTTACAGAGAGTTCAATTAACTTCATACTCTAGTGCCAAGAATACTAAAGGTATGGTGTATGGACCATACCTTTATCAAGCCTTTATCAGCACTGATACGGTCCATATCAGATATGGACCATACTTTATTAAGCCTTTATCAGCAATAGAAGTAGGAGAATCTTAGCAACTATTTACTTAAGGAGTTCTGGACCTATCTTTAAGTTTCTACTTTTATTTGTTTCTTCTGATTACAAAATGAAGATGGGTTGTTAGATTAGTGTTACTTAAATATTAACATTTTTAGATCTAAAAGTTAACCTAATGAATTTTCAATAATGAGTTTTGTTTTTTGTTTTTTGTTTTTTTTAATGAAAACAAGATGAGAATTTGTATCTTAAGGAAGGAGAGGAAGGGTGGACCGAAGCATCTAATGTTCTTGTTTCTACTTTTTAACCTATTTCTGCTGCTGCCATCTAGTGTTCTGTCTGTGCTGTCTGCATTTGCTTTTTAGCATTAACTCTGTATTCCTAAATGCCACTTCAGGAAGGGATCTGGATATTCTGATTTTTCTGTTCAATGTTCTTTCTATTTCATGACACTTAGGATCAAATATGCCATAGTAATAACAACTGTAGCTCCAAGCTGTGAAGGTCTTTGCAGTTTACAAAGTGCTTTTACACTCTTATAATCTCAGAAGATTGTTTCTAACAGTGGCTTTTCAATGATCCAACAACTACAAATTTTCTAAGGAAAATAATCATAGCATGTCAGAGGTGGAAAAGCTATTAGAGCACAGCTAGCCAAGTGGTTTTTATTTTTTTATTTAGTGTGTGTGTGTATATATAGCTAATACCTATTAAAGTTGTTGGGTAAATTAATCCCATATGATAAACATGAATTAAAACCTTAAGTCAATAAAAACATTTCCCTTCAATAAACACTCTGCTTTGTCAATAAGTTTTTGCTCAATCTTGTTCTCAAGTATACATGTTAACAGTCTTTGAAAATATTTAAGTAAATGTATCAGTATTTCAGAAATGTTAATTGCCCTTCCTAGCAAGTAGACTTAGATGGGAATTCATCTTTAAACCATGCTACTTTCTATCCTGGAGGATTCCAGGGAGGTGACTTGTAGGGAGAGATAATGCTAATGATAGTTCTTCATCAGTACCCCCTGTCCCCACCTCAAAATAGACACACACCTCCTGTATCTAAGAGCATTGTTTTACTACTTTTATATGTTCTATCTTTTTGGGTTCTATATAATTTTTTTTCCTGCATATAGTTTTGTCCAGATCCAAGATTTCACTCCTTAAAAGTTGAAAATCCATTTTACAGCTGAGAAAATTGAAGTTCAGAAAGGTTATGTCATGAGTAAAAGGTCACACAGTTATCAAGTAGCAGAGTAAGGACTGGAACCCAGGTCTGCCTGATTCCAAGGCTCAAGCTGGCTTCTCAGACAATGAAGTTGGTTATAATGAAAGACATTAAATCCAGATAGTTAAAACAAATAAATAGTCAGGCAAGAAAACAAAGGTCTTTTTAAAAATTGTGGTAAAATATACATAACATTAATTTTACCATTTTAACCATTCAAAGTATACAACTTAGTGTCATTAAGTACATTTACAATGTTGTGTAAGCATCACCACTATCTATTTCCAGAACTTTTTCATTATCTTAAACAGAAACTACATACCCATTAAACAATAATTCTTTTTGGCCATAATACAAGTCAAAAAACAATAGATGTTGGTGAGAATGTGCTTAAAAGGAAACACTTCTACATTGCTAGAGGGAATGTAAATTAGTATAACCACTATGGAAAACAATATGGAGATTCCTTAAAGAACTAAAAGTAAATTTACTCTTCGATCCAGCAACTACACTCAGAGGAAAAGAAGTCATTATATGAAAAAGACACATGCACACACATGATTATAGCAGCACAATTTGCAATTGCAAAGATATGAAACAAACTTAAGTGCCCATCGGCCAATGAGTGGATAAACAAAATATGGTATATATATACCAGGGAATACTACCCAGCCATAAAAAGGAACCAAATAATGTCTTTTGCAGCAACTTGGATGGAGTTGGAGGCCATTATTCTAATTGAAGTAACTCAGGAATGGAAAACCAAATATTGTATGTTCTCACTTATAAGTGGGAGCTAAACTATGAGGACACAAAGAAGTATACAGTGATATAATGGACTTTGGGAACTCATGTAGGGGAAAGGATGGGAAGTAAGTGAGGGATAAAAGACTATGTATAGGGTACAATGCACACCGCTCAGGTGATAGGCACACTAAACATTCAGAATTTACCACTTAACTCATCCATGTAACCAAAAACAACCTGTACCCCAAAAAACTGTTGAAAAATAATAATTAAAAATAATTCCCAATTCTCCCCTCTACTATGCCCTGACAAACACCAAATACTCTCTATGAATCTGAATTCTCTAGTTACCTCATATAAGTGGAATCATAAAATATTTGGCCTTTTGTGACTAGTTTATTTCACGAAAATAATGTCTTTGAGGTTCATCCATGTTGTAACATGCATCAGAATTTCCTTCCCTTTTAAGGCTGAATAATATTCCATTGTATGGAACATATACCATGTATTGTTTATCCATTCATGGACATTTAGGTTGTTACACCTTTTGCTTATCATGAATAATTCTGCTGTGAAAGTTGGTGTACAAATATTCATTTGAGTCCCTGCTTTCAATTCTTTTATACCTCAGAATGGAATTGATGGATCACATGATATTTTTATATTTAACTTTTTGAGAAACTATCAAACTGCTTTCTATAATGAAGAAGACTTTTTAAGACAAACGAGTCCGGTTCCAAAATGGCCGAATAGGAACAGCTCCAGTCTACAGCTCCCAGCGTGAGCAACACAGAAGACGGGTGATTTCCAACTGAAGTACCAGGTTCATCTCACTGGGGCTTGTCGGACAGTGGGTGCAGGACAGTGGGTGCAGCGCACCGAGTGTGAGCTGAAGCAGGTTGAGGCATCACCTCACCCAGGAAGCACAAGTGGTCAGGAAATTCCCTTTGCTAGCCAAGCAAAGCTGTGACAGACGGCACCTGGAAAATTGGGTCACTCCCACCCTAATATTGCGCTTTTCCGATGGTCTTAGCAAACGGCACACCAGGAGATTATATCCTGTGCCTGGCTCGGAGGGACCCATGCCCAAGGAGCCTTGCTCACTGCTAACACAGCAGTCTGAGATAAAACAGTAAAGTGGCAGCGAGGCTGGGGGAGGGGTGCCCATCATTGCTGAGGCTTGAGTAGGTAAACAAAGTGGCCAGGAAGCTCGAACTGGGTGGAGCCCACCACAGCCCAAGGAGGTCTGCCCACCTCTGTAGACTCCACCTCTGCGGGCAGGGCATAGCCAAACAAAAGGAAGCAGAAGCCTCTGAAGACTTAAATGTCCCTGTCTGACAGCTTTGAAGTGAATAGTGGTTCTCCCAGCATAGAGTTTGAGATCTGAGAACAGACAGAGTGCCTCCTCAAGTGGGTCCCTGATCCCTGAGTAGCCTAACTGGGAGGCACCCCCCAGTAGAGGCAGACTGACACCTCACACGGCCAGGTACCCATCTGAGATGAAACCTCCAGAGGAACGATCAGACAGCAACTTTGGCTGTTCGGCAATATTCACTGTTCTGAAGCCTCCACTGCTGATACCCAGGCAAACAAGGTCTGGAGTGGACGTCCAGCAAACTCCAACAGACCTGCAGCTGAGGGTTCTGACTCTTAGAAGGAAAACTAACAAACAGAAAGGACATCCACACCAAAACCCCATCTGTATGTCACCATCATCCAAGACCAAAGGTAGATAAAACCACAAAGATGGGGAAAAAACAGAACAGAAAAACTGAAAAATCTAAAAATCAGAGCACCTCTCCTCCTCCAAAGGAACGCAGCTCCTCACCAGCAATGGAACAAAGCTGGACAGAGAACGACTTTGATGAGTTGAGAGAAGAAGGCTTCAGATGATCAAACTACACTGAGCTAAAGGAGGAAGTTCGAACCCATTGCAAAGGAGTTAAAAGCCTGGAAAAAAGATTAGACGAATGGCTAACTAGAATAACCAATGCAGAGAAGTCCTTAAAGGACCTGATGGAGCTGAAAATCATGGCACGAGAAATACGTGATGAATGCACAAGCTTCAGTAGCTGATTTGATCAACTGGAAGAAAGGGTATCAGTGATTGAAGATCAAATGAATCAAATGAAGCAAGAAGAGAAGTTTACAGAAAAAAGAAAAGAAAAATGAACAAAGCCTCCAAGAAATATGGGACTATGTGAAAAGACCAAATCTACGTCTGATTGGTGTACCTGAAAGTGAGGGGCAGAATGGAACAAAGATGGAAAACACTCTGCAGGATATTATCCAGGAGAACTTCCCCAATCTAGCAAGGCAGGCCAACATTCAAATTAACGAAATACAGAGAACGCCACAAAGATATTCCTCGAGAAGAGCAACTCCAAGACACATAATTGTCAGATTCACCAAAGTTGAAATGAAGGAAAAAATGTTAAGGGCAGCCAGAGAGAAAGGTTAGGTTACCCACACAGGGAAGCCCATCAGACGAACAGCTGATGTCTCGGCAGAAACTCTACAAGCCAGAAGAGAGTAGGGGCCAATATTCGACATTCTTAAAGAAAACAATTTTCGACCCAGAATTTCATATCCAGCCAAACTAAGCTTCGTAAGTGAAGGAGAAATGAAATCCTTTACAGACAAACAAATGCTGAGAGATTTTGTCACCACCAGGCCTGCTCTACAAGAGCTTCTGAAGGAAGTACTAAACATGGAAAGGAAAAACCGGTACCAGCCACTGCAAAAGCATGCCAAATTGTAAAGACCATCAAGGCTAGGAAGAAATTGCACCAACTAACGAGCAAAATAACCAGCTAACATCATAAAGACAAGATCAAATTCACACATAACAATATTAACCTTAAGTGTAAATGGGCTAAATGCTCCAATTAAAAGACACAGACTGGCAAATTGGATAAAGAGTCAAGACCCATCAGTGTGATGTATTCAGGAAACCCATCTCATGGGCAGAGACACACATAGGCTCAAAATAAAGGGATGGAGGAAGATCTAACAAGCAAATGGAAAACAAAAAAAGGCAGGGGTTGCAATCCTAGTCTCGGATAAAACAGACTTTAAACCAACAAAGATCAAAAGAGACAAAGAAGGCCATTACATAATGGTAAAGGGATCAATTCAACAAGAAGAGCTAACTATCCTAAATATATATGCACCCAATACAGGAGCAGCCAGATTCATAAAGCAAGTCCTTAGAGACCAACAAAGAGACTTAGACTCCCACACAATAATAATGGGAGACTTTAACACCCCACTGTCAACATTAGACAGATCAACGAGATGGAAATTTCACAAGGATATCCAGGAATTGAACTCAGCTCTGCACCAAGCAGACCTAATAGACATCTACAGAACTCTCCACCCCAAATCAACAGAATATACATTCTTCTCAGCACCACACCACACCTATTCCAAAACTGACCACATAGTTGGAAGTAAAGCACTCCTCAGCAAATGTAAAAGAAAAGAAATTATAACAAACTGTCTGTCAGACCACAGTGCAATCAAACTACAACTCAGGATTAAGAATCTCACTCAAAACTACTCAACTACATGGAAACTGAACAACCTGCTCCTGAATGACTACTGGGTACATAACAAAATGAAGGCAGAAATAAAGATGTTCTTTGAAACCAACAAGAACAGATACAATATACCAGAATCTCTAGGACACATTTAAAGCAGTGTGTAGAGGGAAATTTATAGCACTAAATGCCCACAAGAGAAAGCAGGAAAGATCTAAAATTGACACCCTAACATCACAATTAAAAGAACTAGAGAAGCAACAGCAAACACATTCAAAAGATAGCAGAAGGCAAGAAATAACTAAGATCAGAGCAGAACTGAAGGAGATAGAGACACAAAAAACCCTCCAAAAAATCAATGAATCCAGGAGCTGGCTTTTTGAAAAGATCAACAAAATTGATAGACCGCTAGCAAGACTAATAAAGACGAAAAGAGAGAAGAATCAAATAGACGCAAATAAAAACTGACAAAGGGGATATCACCACCGATGCCACAGAAATACAAACTACCATCAGAGAATACTATAAATACCTCTACACAAATAAACTAGAAAATCTAGCAGAAATGGATAAATTCCTCGACACATACACCCTCCCAAAACTAAACCAGGAAGAACTTGAATCTCTGAATAGACCAATAACAGGCTCTGAAATTGAGGCAATAATTAATAGCTTACCAACCAAAAAAAGTCCAGAACCAGATGGATTTACAGCTGAATTCTACCAGAGGTACAAAGAGGAGCTGGTACCATTCCTTCTGAAACTAGTCCAGTCAATAGAAAAAGAGGGAATCCTCCCTAACTCATTTTATGAGGCCAGCATCATCCTGATACCAAAGCCTGACAGAGACACAACAAAAAAAGAGAATATTAGACCAATATCCCTGATGAACATCGATGCAAAAATCCTCAATAAAATACTGGCAAACCGAATCCAGCAGCACATCAAAAAGCTTATCCACCATGATCAAGTGGGCTTCATCCCTGGGATGCAAGGCTGGTTCAACATATGCAAATCAATAAACATAATCCAGCATATAAACAGAACCAAAGACAAAAACCACATGATTATTTCAATAGATGCAGAAAAGGCCTTTGACAAAATTCAACAGCCCTTCATGCTAAAAACTCTCAATAAATTAGGTATTGATGGGACGTATGTCAAAATAAGAAGAGCTATTTATGACAATCCCACAGCCAATATCATACTGAATGGGCAAAAACTGGAAGCATTCCCTTTGAAAACTGGCACAAGACAGGGATGCCCTCTCTCACCACTCCTACTCAACATAGTGTTGGAATTTCTGGCCAGGGCAATCAGGCAGGAGAAAGAAATAAAGGGTATTCAATTAGGAAAAGAGGAAGTCAAATTGTCCCTGTTTGCAGATGACATGATTGTATATTTAGAAAACTCCATCATCTCAGCCCAAAATCTCCTTAAGCTGATAAGCAACTTCAGCAAAGTCTCAGGATACAAAATCAATCAATGTGCAAAAATCACAAGCGTTCGTATACACCAATAACAGACAAACAGAGAGCCAAATCATGAATGAACTCCCATTCACAATTGCTACAAAGAGAATAAAATACCTAGGAATCCAACTTACAAGGGATGCGAAGGATCTCTTCAAGGAGAACTACAAACCACTGCTCAACGAAATAAAAGAGGACACAAACAAATGGAAGAACATTCCATGCTCATGGATAGGAAGAATCAATATCGTGAAAATGGCCATACTGCCCAAGGTAATTTATAGATTCAATGCCATCTCCATCAAGTTACCAATGACTTTCTTCAAAGAACTGGAAAAAAGTACTTTAAAGTTCATATGGAACCAAAAAAGAGCCTGCATTGCCAAGTCAATCCTAAGCCAAAAGAACAAAGAAGGAGGCATCATGCTACGTGACTTCAAACTATACTACAAGGCTACAGTAAACAAAACAGCATGGTACTGGTACCAAAACAGAGATATAGACCAGTGGAACAGAACAGAGCCCTCAGAAATAATGTGACATATCTACAACTATCTGATCTTTGACAAACCTGACAAAACAAGCAATGGGGAAAGGATTCCCTATTTAATAAATGGTGCTGGGAAAACTGGCTAGCCATATGTAGAAAGCTGGAACTGGATCCCTTCCTTACACCTTATACAAAAATTAATTCAAGATGGATTAAAGACTTAAATGTTTGACCTAAAACCATAAAAACCCTAGAAGAAAACCTAGGCAATACCATTCAGGACATAGGCATGGGCAAGGACTTCATGTCTAAAACACCAAAACAATGGCAACAAAAGACAAAATTGACAAATGGGATCTAATTAAACTAAAGAGCTTCTGCACAGCAAAAGAAACTACCATCAGAGTGAACAGGCAACCTACAGAATGGGAGAAAATTTTTGCAATCTACTCATCTGACAAAGGGCTAATATCCAGAATCTACAAAGAACTCAAACAAATTTACAAGAAAAAAAAAAACAACCCCATCAACAAGTGGGCGAAGGATATGAGCAGACACTTCTCAAAAGAAGACATTTATGCAGCCAAAAGACACATGAAAAAATGTTCATCATCACTGGCCATCAGAGAAATGCAAATCAAAACCACAATGAGATATCATCTCCACCAGTTAGAATGGCGATCATTAAAAAGTCAGGAAACAGCAGGTGCTGGAGAGGATGTGGAGAAATAGGAACACTTTTACACTGTTGGTGGGACTGTAAACTAGTTCAACCATTGTGGAAGAAGGTGTGGTGATTCCTCAGGGATCTAGAACTAGAAATACCGTTTGACCCAGCCATCCCATTACTGGGTACATACCCAAAGGATTATAAATCATGCTGCTATAAAGACACATGCACACATATGTTTATTGCAGCACTATTCACAATAGCAAAGACTTGGAACCAACCCAAATGTCCATCAATGATAGACTGGATTAAGAAAATGTGGCACATATACACCATGGAATACTATGCAGTCATAAAAATTGATGAGTTCATGTCCTTTGTAGGGACATGGATGAAGCTGGAAACCATCATTCTCGGCAAACTATGGCAAGGACAGAAAAATAAAACACCGCATGTTCTCAGTCATAGGTGGGAATTGAACTATGAGAACACATGGACACAGGAAGGGGAACATCACACACCGGGGCCTGTTTTGGGGTGGTGGGAGCGGGGAGGGATAGCATTAGGAGATATACCTAATGTAAATGACGAGATAATGGGTGCAGCACACCAACATGGCACATGTATACATATGTAACAAACCTGCACGTTGTGCACATGTACCCTAGAACTTAAAGTATAATAAAAAATATATATATAAAAGAAGTCTTTTTAAAAGGATTGCATTATAAATTTGTACAATATATTTGCATATAATGCATTTACCACTACCAAAAATATTTTCCATCTACATTAAAATGTTTTTTTTCACAGAACTTTGTTGTCTTTAATCAAGAACACCTTATGATGTTTTACCCTGCTTATACTGAAGATTATTTTGCTCTACATATAAAGTTACAAGGCATTGAAATTTTTGGCGACAGTTGATGCTGAGATCTAGAAGTCCCGTTTTGACTATGAAGGCACAGTTCTTGGGAATCTTTTCCTTTTTGTCTACCTTCTGCAACTTATTTTGACAAGACTTTAATCTAATAGCACTCCTGGCATTTATTTAAGCAAATTTGCCTCCAAAAGGTGAAAGAATAAAATTTGTTTATCGCACCATTTTCTTGGAGTTACTTTTGAAAAATTAAATGCCCCGCCTCAGTGTTAAGTTCTCAAGTTCCCTGAAGCATGATTTTCAACATCTAAAATTTTTCACTTGATGTATTAATAAATTAAACCAAATTACCAACTTACACTATCATATCACATTGTGTCTTTTACCTGATGTGCCTCTGTGGTACAGATTAAATGTCGCCTTTATTATCACCTCAAGCAAGAATATGAAAAGGATCCATCAAGCAGATGCATAATATGATATCAAAACATTTCTACAATTCTTCTATTATTGCTGATATCAGTGAGTATGACAAAAATAATTTTGCTTGAAGAAAGTATCCTTGGATGTACTGGTTTCTAAAAGACAACGCTACCAATATACTAACAATTTCAAGAAATTAATTAACCAATTTTTTTTTTTTGCAAACCTACTTTGTGTCAACTAATCTTTTAGATTAACAAGAGAAACAAGGTCTCCATCCTCATGGAGCTTCAAGTCTAATGCATTGAGACAGACAATACACAAATAAGCAAAGATAATTTCGAATAATGATGAGAACAAGGTGGGGAGGGCTGTTTTATTAGATAGGATTGCCAGAGAAGACCTTTCTAAAGATATGATATTTGAGTTGAAACCTAAATAAGAAGTAGGAAGCAGCCACGCAAAATACAATCCAGACAGAAGGACAGCAAGTCCAAAGGCAATGAAGCAAAACAGCAAAGGCAGGGAGATCCCAAATCATCTAGGGTCTTGTGACTCATGGTAAAAAGTTTAGATTATTGGCTGGGCGCAGTGGCTCACGCCTGTAATCTCAGCACTTTGAGAGGCCGAGGCGGGCAGATCACCTGAGGTTGGGAGTTCGAGACCAGCCTGACCAACATGGAGAAACCCCATCTCTACTAAAAATACAAAAATTAGCCGGACATGGTGGTGCATGCCTGTAATCCCAGCTACTCGAGAGGCTGAGGCAGGAGAATCGCTTGAACCCGGGAAGCGGAGGTTGTGGTGAGCCGAGATAGCGCCATTGCACTCCAGCCTGGGCAATAAGAGTGAAACTCTGTCTCAAAAAAAAAAAAAAAGTTTAGATGATTATCCTTAGTTCACTTTATATCAATACAGTTAAACTATGAATGATTCTACATTTCAGTTCAGAAGTTTACAGAATTAAGTGACAATTTCCTCACTCCTGTGATGAAGAACAAGCAACTGGAAGTAAGTCTTATTACAGTCAATTAAGTGATCATATCTCTGCATCTTTTTTTTGTACAAACATGTGGTTGGAGTAATAACCTCAGACACTATTGATGTAAAGGAGAAAAACTGGTTTCTAATCCTTCCAAATGAAATGTATTACAATAGGAGAAAACGGAATTTGATTTAAAAATAATTAAAACCACACAGTTTTATGGATTTAGTGGTAAAGCCTTAGAAACTTTGAGCCAGGCCAAGGTAGTAAGCCATTTATGAATTGCAATACAAAGCCTACAGGCCTCACCATATTCCAGTTGATTCTAATTCTTTGAAACAAATAAAATTTGGAGTCAGAGAAAGGAATTTATATAGCCATTGGGGTCTCATCATTTGTATAGCCACTTCCTCACTCCTCTACCCGAGTCTCCTTTCTATTCTGCTTTAGGAGGAAGGAACAATGAGTGTTGTGAGAGCGGAACATGACCTTAGAAAAGGGCTAGTTTCTAATGTGGCACATATACACCATGGAATACTATGCAGCCATAAAAAAGGATGAGTTCATGTCCTTTGTAGGGACATGGATGAAGCTGGAAACCATCATTCTCAGCAAACTATCGCAAGGACAGAAAACCAAACACTGCATGTTCTCACTCATAGGTGGGAATTGAACAATGAGAACACTTGGACACAGGGTGGGGAACATCACACACCGGGGCCTGTTGTGGGGTGGGGGGAGGGGGTAGGGGGGAGGGATAGCATTAAGAGATATACCTAATGTAAATGACAAGTTAATGGGTGCAGCACACCAACATGGCATATGTATACATACGTAACAAATCTGCACGTTGTGCACATGTACCCTAGAACTTAAAGTATAATTTAAAAAAAGGGTTAGTTTCTAATGTCTAATAGAGGAATAATGGAGGTGTGCAGAACTTGAAAAACTGCCATTTCATCTCTTTGATAAAGCTCATTACCAATCTCACATCACCATATTACATAATGAATAAGGAACACCCTTTTCCCCAATATTTTTGAAGTTTGGGCTGTGGGAGTAACTCATCTAAAAGGGCCTTGGTATTACTGCTGGTGACTACCCTGCTGTACTCCCCAGGAAGCTAGAGATGAAAATCGCTCAGCTCTTGCCACAGCTCTGGGTAACCTTCCAGTCATGGGACTAGACCTCTGTTATCTATGGTTTCTTTTGTCAGCCCCAAAACTCAAGTTGAAACTGAATTCTCGATATGGCAGTATTGAGAGGTAGGGCCTTTAAGAGGTGATTGGGTCATGAGGGTTCCATTCATGGATTAATGGGTTAATGGATTAATGGGTTATCATGGCAGGCGAACTGGTGGCTTTTTAAGAAGAGGAAGAGAAACTTTAGGTAGCACATTAGCAGCCCCCTCACCAAGTGATGTTCTATGCCATCTTGGGACTCTTCAGAGTCCCTATCAGCAAGAAGGCTTTCATCAGATGTAACTCCTCGACTTTAGATTTCTCAGCCTCTGACTGTGAAACATAAATTCCTTTTCTTTATAGATTACTTAGCTTCAGGTATTCTGTTATGAGCAACAGAAAACAGACTAGGATAGCCTCCATCTTGCAACCAAATAATTGGAATATGTGGCGGTAAGTATCTTTCACTAAATTATTTGCAGTAGCCAAATACCTATTACTCTTTTCCACACACCTATTTCAAAATACCATTCCTATTTCTTTCACACTATGTTGGTGGTTGACTCACATCAGGTGGAAGGTGTAGAAGAGGGGTGATGGTGACAAATTATCAGCAGACAAGGGCATTCCTCTAAGCTGTCACTTTTATTTTGAGTATTTCAATTACATGTGGGAGAGGAAAAATATTTTAAAAGATGCCAGAATCATGATTCAAACTTAATCAAAAATCTTTTTATTTAATTTTAAAGGAAATCTGATTAGTCTGTCATTATTCGAGGCTCTTTACATTTTTAACATCTTTATTGAGATATAACTTATATAACATAAAGTTAATTGCTTTAATATGTACAATTCAATGATTTTCATTATATTTACAGTTGTGCAACCATTACCATAATCTAATTATAGAACATTTTAATGACCCCCAAAAGAAATACAAAGCCTATTAGCACATCCCCACCCCCTCCACCCCAGCTCTTGGCAACCACTAATCTACTTACTCTCTATATACATTTGTCTATTCTGTACATTTACTATACAGTTGACCCTTGAATTACAAGGGTTTGAACTGCTGTGGTCCACTTATATGCGGATTTTTTTTTAACCAAACATGGATCAAAAATACAGTATTCACAGGATGCAAAACCCACATATATAGAGGGTCAACTTTTCATATATCCAGCTTCCTGAGGGCCAACTCTGGGACATGATTATGTGCGGATTTGGCTATACTCAGGCAGTCCTGGAACCAATCCCCCATGTATACCAAGGGACAACTGTAAGTGAAATCATACAATATGTGGCCTTTTGTGACTGGCTTATTTCACTTAGCATAATAGTTTCAAGGTTCATCCATGTTGTAGCATGTATCAGTACTTCAATCTTTTTTAGGATAAATAATATTCCCTTGTATGAGTATACCACATTTTGTTTACTCACCAGTTCATGGACATTGAGTTGTTTGTATTTTTTGGTTATTATGAATAATATTGCTGTGAACTCTTGTGTACAGCTGTGTGTGTGTGTATGTGTGTGTGATAGGGTCCTGCTCTGTTGCTCGGGCTGGAATGCAGTGGCGCGATTATGGCTCACTGCAGCCTCAATCTCCCGGGCTTAAGCGATCCTTCCACCTCAGCCTCCCAAGTAACTGGGACTACAGGCATGCGCCACAATGCCCATCTTGTGTACAACTTTTTGTGCGGACTTATGTTTATAGTTCTCTTGGGTATATGGTAACTCAGTTTAACTTTTTCAGGAGCTGCCAAACTATTTTCCAAAGTGGCTGCACAATTTTACCTTCTCATCTGCAAGGTATGAGGTTCCCAACTACTCCATATCCTCATCAATATTTGTCATTGTCTTTTTTACTGTAGCCATCCTACTGGATAAAAAGTGGTATCTCATTGTGGTTTTGATTTGCATTTTCCTAATGATTAATAATGCTAAGCAACTTTTCATGTAACTATTGGCCATTTGCTTATATTCTTTGGAAAAATGTTTATTCAAATTATTTGCCCATTTGTAAATTGGGTTATCTTTTTGTGGTTGAGATTTAAGTTCTTCACCTATATTCTGGAAACTAGACCCTTATCAGATATATGATTTGCAAACATTTTCTCCCATTTTTGGGTTTTCACTTTCCTGATAGTGTTCTTTGATGCACAAAAGTCGTTAATTTTGATGGAGTCCAATTTATATTTTTTTCCTTTGGTTGTGTCTTAGGTGTCACACCTAAGAAACCATTGCCTAATCTAAGATAACAAGTATTTATACCAGGGTTTTCTTCAAAGCGTTTTATAGTTTTAGCTCTTACCTTTAGGTCTTTGATCTATTTTGAGTTAATTTTTATATGTGGTGTGATGTAGTGGTCCAACTTATTATTATTATTATTATTTTGCATCTGGTTATCCAGTTGTCACAACAAAATTTGTTGAAAGGACTATTCATTTCCCCCGTTGAATTGTCAGTGCCACTGTCAAAAATCAATTAATCATAGATGTATGGGCTATTTTCTGATTCTCAGTTTTGTTCCATTGATCTATATGTCCATCTTTATTTCAGTACCACATAGTGCTCCTTATAGTAGATTTTAGTAAGGATTGAACTTGGGGAGTGTGTCTTCCAACTCTGTTTTTCTTTTCAGGATTGTTTTGGCTATTCTGAGTTCCTTGCATTTCCATATCAATTTCTGCAGGTTTTGCAAAAACAGCCAGCTAGAATTTGGCTAGAGATTGTGTTGAATCTGTAGGTCAATGTGGGACATCACCATCTTAACAATATCATGTCTTCCAAACCATAAACATGGAATGACTTTCCATTTATTTAGGTATTCTTTAATTTCATTCAACAATGTTTTGTAATTCTCAGGCTACAGGTCTTGCACTTATTTTGCTAAGCTTATTTCTAAGTATTGTACCCTTTTTGATGCTATTGTAAAGGGAATGGCTTTCTTGATTTCATTTTTGGATTCTTCACTGCTAAAGTAAATAAATAACTGATTTTTGCATCTTGCTCATGTATCATGCAAGCTTGGCGTACTTGTTCATTTGTTCTAAAACATTTTTCATGCATTCTTTAAGATTTTCCGCTATATAAGATCATGTCACCTGCAAATAGTTTTACTTCCTTTCCATTCCGCCTACTATTTCTTTTTTTAATTGCTGATGTTAGAACCTCAGACACTATTGAATAGAAGTAGTGAGACCAGAAATCCTGTCTTAAGGAGATCCCTTGATCTTAAAAGGAAAGTATTCAGCATTTTACTATTAAGTATGTTACTTGCTATGAATTTTTCATAGTTGCTCTTTATCTTTTAAGGAAGTTTCCTTCTATTCCTAGTTTGCTGCAAGCGTTTATCATGAACACTGTTGAACTTTATCAAGTGCTTTTTTGATTCTAATGATATGATTATGTGAATTTGATTTTATTTTAGTATGGTATATTACATTGATTGATTTCCATATTTTAAACCAACCTGTCTTTCTAGTATAATCCCACTTGGTCATAGTATACATACTTTTTATATGTTACTGGATTTTGTTTGCTAGTATTTTTGATGACTTTTGTGTCTATATTCAAAGACTATTGGCCTGTAATTTTCTTGTAATGTCTTTGTTAGATTGGGTATCAGCATACTACTGGTGTCATGTAATTAAGTTGGAAAATATTCCTTTCTCTTGTATTTTCTGCAATAGTTGTGAAGAATTGGTGTTTAAAAAAGAAAAAAAAAAACACTTGGTAGAATTAGCCAGCAAAGCCATCTAGGACTGGGTTTTTTTGGGGAGTTTTAAAATGATTAATTCAATGTCTTTACTTGGTATAGGTCTATTCAGACTTTCTATTTTATTTTTAGTCAGTTTTAACAGTTTGTTTCTTTCTAGGAATTTATCTATTTTTTTCCGTTATTGAATTTGTTGGCATGCTGTTATAGACTGAATTGTGTTCTACATAAATTCACATGTTGAAGTCCTAACCCCCAATATGACTGTGTTTGAAGATAAAACCTTTTATGAGGTAATTAAGGTTAAATGAGGTCATAAGGCTGTGGCCCTACCCCAATGACTAGTGTCTTTATAAGAGGAGGAAGAGACACCCGACTTGTGTGTGTGTGTGCACATGCACACAGAGAAAATGTCATGTAAGAATACAGTAAGAAAGTGGCTATCTACATGTCATGGGGAGAGGCCTCAGGAGAAACCAACCCTGTCATCACTTTGATCTTGGACTTCAAGCCTCCAGAATGTGACAAAATAAATGTCTGCTGTTTAAGCCACCTGGTCTATAGTATCTTGTTATGTCAGCCCTACAGGACTAATATACCATTGTTCTCAGTATTCTCTAATAAGCCTTTTAATTTCTGTGAGGTAAGTAGTGATGTTCTTACATTTCCGATTTTAATAACTTGAGTCTCTCTGTATAACATTCCTTACTGCTTTCTGTTCTCTATTTCATTCTTTTATTTCTGCTCTTATTATTTCCTTCTTTCTGCTTGCTTTGGGTTTAGTTTTCTCCATTTTTTTCTAATTTTCTAAGCTGGAAAGGTAGATTATTGATTTGAGAACTTTCTTCCTTTTATATATAGATACTTGCTACTATAAATTTCCCTCTCAGCCCTGTTCTTGCTGATCCCATAAGTCTTGGTATATGTATTTTTGTTTCTCTCAATGTACAGTGATCCTCTTATTCACAGGAGATACATTCCAGAACCCCAAGTGGATGCCTGAAACCAGATAGTACCAAACCATATTTATATATGTCGCATCTGATAACAGCTACTAAGTGACTATGGGTGGGTATCATATACAACATGGATATGCTGAACAAATAAATGATTCGCATCCTGGGCAGGACAGAGTGGGATGTGTAAGATTTTGTCACACTACTCAGAAGGGCATGCAATGTAAAACTTATGAATTATTTCTGGAACCTTCCATTTAATATTTTCAGATCACAGTTGACTATGGCTAACTGAGGAAAGCAAAATCACAGATAAGGGTGGACTACGGTATTTTCTGATTTCCCTTATGGTTTTTCTTTGATCTATTGGTTATTTAGGAGTGTGTTGTTTAACTTCCACATTATTTTTAAATTTCCCGAGTTCCTACTGTTATTAGTTTCTAATTTTATTGCACTGTGGTAGAAGAATATACTTCGTATAATTCTGATCCTTTTAAATCTATCAAAGCTTCTTTTATGGTCTTGCCTATAGTATATTCCAGAGAATATACCACATGCACTTCAGAATGTGTATTCTGAATGGGTGGAGTGTTCTATGCCTGTTAGGTCTAGTTGGATTATAGTGTCGTTAAAGCCTTTTATATCCTTGTTAATTTTCTTCCTATTCTATACATTATTAAAAGTGGGGTATTGAGTCCCCAGATATTATTGCTGAACTATCTATTTCTCCTTCAATTCTGTCCACTTTTTGGGAGCTCTACTGTTAGATGCATATATTCATAATTTTTTTTTTCTCCCTGAGGGACTGAACTTTTTATTATAAATGGAACTCTTTATCTCTAAGTTTTTGTTTCAAAGTCTACTGCTTGTATTTACCATATTCTACCTTTCTTGTGATTGCTGCTTGCATTGTATGTTTCTTTGCCATTCTTTTACTTTCCACTTATTTGTATATTTAAATCTAAAATGTCTCCTGTAAATGAGTTTTTTTAAAAAAAATTTTATTAAAATCTGCCTTTTGGCTAGATCATTTAATCCATTCACATTTCATTATTCATATAGCTGGATTTACTTCTGCCATTTTCACTTTTCATTTTCTACATCTTATGACTATTTTGTTGGAAACTAGATTTTTAGATAATGTATTTTAGTAACTCTTGGTACTGACACCCCTAACCCTCCATGCTTGGTATTGTTATTTGCTTATGTGTTTAGTAAAAGGCTGGATTATTTTATTGAAGTCTCTTCATCCTCCCATGTGTTAAGAGTCTAATGTTGCTCCTCAGGGAGGCTCATCTTCCGGTATGCCCAACTGGGATGACAGTGGCTTGGGTAGGGGTCTCTTCCTCTCTTTCCATGCCCACACCCAGATGTTAGAATCCACTAGTTACAAACTGATTACTTAACTGTTTTCAATAATGCCCTGTGGCATAAAATGCTCTAAACAAATCCAATTAAATGCTTGTTCTTTTGAAGGAATAGTTTTTGGTCAGTGTTTGATATTGTTCTGACCCTAGGAGGACTCCTCCCAACTGTCTTATTCCTTGGTTCTTTCCGGCAAACTAGCTTGTCTACATAGTCTGTAGGTTGAATCTCTTCACTCGCCTTTCTCCACAATTACCATTGCTCTTAAAGAGTGCTCTTAAGTCCTGTTGTGACTAAAGTCAATTCCTTTGGAAAGAGATTAGAAGCTGTATGTTTTATGGTCTGCTTCTCCCCCCAGACAAAATGTCTGAGCCAGGGTTCTGGAGCTGGTTATGGGGGCAATGGCAAGCTTCCGGGGACAGAGTATGCCTTGTGTTCTTGGCTGAAGCAGTTTAGAGTGAAGTCTGTGATGCGATGAAAATAGAGAGTAGTCTTGGTTCAAATACCACAGATTCTCACCTTTCTTACTAAATTTTCACAGATTCTCTTGTTGCTTGCCTTGTAGACCATCTCCAGAGGCTTGTGTTTTTTAAAACATAGTTTCCACAAGTTTCACTGAGGAGTGAGTCATTGGAATTCTTCACGGTCATGACAGAAGTCAATCTTTCCAATGACTTTTACACTTCCTAAATTGAATTTGATAAGGCTTTCTTATGAAAGCAGAAACCTAAAGCAGTTCTATGGGATATTTGCCTTCAAATAAATAACTTTAACAAGTAGGATACAGAGCTTTTAAAGATTATAAGAAAATCGAACCTCCAATGGAAGTATGTTAGACTAGGAAGGTGCATAAAGAAAGGATAAGCTAGAAATTTTAAAGAATAGAAACAAAGATTTTGGAAATCATTTAGTGATCAACTTCAGCCTTATACGACTAAAGATAACTGAAACCAAGGAGAACAAGGAACTTGGCTAAAGCCACTCAGCAAGTCTCCAACAGCTAGTACTAAAACTAGCCCGATGAGAAGTGGCATGTATAACAGTTAAGCAAACAGGTTTTGGAAACATATCTGAGTATAAATCCTGCCATTTAACAGCAATGTGATCTCTGGTCAATTCCGTTGCCTTTCTAAACCTCAGTTTCCTCGTCTGTAAAAAAGTGTTAACAATAATACCTAATAGGTTTGAGACCTCAAGAAACATAACTATTATTATTAATGCAATAATTATAACATTAACATGTCCCTATCCCCACCAAGAATCCTTCTGCAAATTCCCCCTTCACGCACCTGCACCTCTACCAAAAAACAACACAAAACAAAACAAACAAAACAAAAAATACAATAAAAAACCCCAAAACTTATGTGAGGCCTTCCTCAAACCTGTTTCCAGTGATCTGAGGCTGCTGTGCTCATTGAAGGGACTGACATCCAAACCCTGAACACTAAGGAATTTCATTCCTCATTAATCCTTCAAACCCTATTCTCTTCTCTCCTCTAGTTAACATGGTTCCTAGAAAGATCTCAAAGGCTTCCCTTATCCCCTTAACTCTCATAATAACCACAGCACCTGACTCCAGGTCAGGCTACTTCCACTGAAACACACATTGTGAGGAATATAAGCAAGGCTACATGACAGTATCTAACCACAAAACAAAGCTCTGACCTAGATTTCTAGCTTATGTTCTCCTAATACAAGCAAAGATTAGTGTAGGTATAATCAGCTAGTCAAACCTGCTGTGCTTTATCTAGCTAGAAAACCAAATCCAATTAATATACTTTATTTTCTATTCCCTGTTTGATTTTTACAGAGATCTTTGTTGACGTAATTCAATAGTCTATCTGCTGAAAGCCAACACTTTTCCTTGGATGACGATCAGACCAAGTGGAAGTTGTTTAGGAGAGGAGAAAAGATGGCATTGTGAAATATGAATGAGACTAACATAAATGCTATGAACCAAAGGCAACTTGAGCAGGTCTAATGTCTTCTCAAGGACCACTGCAAAACCCCATTTCTTGAGAATAAAGAGAGCAAATGCACGAGTCTTTGAGTTAAATTACTTGAAACATTTCCCCCTAAAAACTCCTAATAACCACATACACTGTGACAGAATAGTTATAAAAAAATTTAAATCAGCAGTGGTTCAAGTTCACTTTACTGTATTTATAGGGCCACTCAACCTCTGCCGACCAACACTCCTGCCCCAAAGTCTTAATTAGAAAAAAAAAAGCCACAAATAATTGTTTCCAAAGGACTGGTATATGTATTGGTGTAAAGAAAGAGTGACACTGGACTGTCACGGTGGCTCACACCTGAAATTTCACACTTTGGGAGGCCGAGGAGGGCAGATCACCTGAGGTCAGGAGTTTGAGACCAGCCTGGCCAACGTGGTGAAACCCCATCTCTACTAAAAATACAAAAATTAGCTGGGTGTGGTGGCACACACTTGTAATCCCAACTACTTAGGAGGCTGAAGGCAGAAGAATCGCTTGAACACAGGAGGCGGAGGTTGCAGTGAGCCGAGATCACGTCATTGCACTCCAGCCTGGGTGACAAGAGCGAAACTCCGTCTCAAAAAGAGAAGAGGAGTGACACATTAAATAATGAGTAAAACTGAGAGACAGTTCAAAGGATGTAAAGTAAAAACACCCCAAAACAAAAACCCTAAATTAAACTTAGGGATTAAGTCAGGAACCCTGTTGCGTTCTCTGAGAACTGTACCTGAAACCCGTTTGAACTCAAAGTTCAAGGTTTTGCACTGGCAAGGAAGCATAGAGTAGGGAAGACTGCAATAACAGATCATTCTTCAAAGTCACACATTGCAAAGCACATTTGTGTATATTAGCACAGTTAATCTTCAAAATAAGATAGGAGTAAATTCTCTACACTTTTCTTGGGCATTTGCCTTTTTGTAAGAGTGTGTAAGATATACAATTCAATCATTTGAGCTTCAATCATTTTTCTACTTCCAAACCTGGTAGTTTTAAAAATTCCAAAGCACTAAGATGTTTGAAGATCCATATCTCAAGGTCCTCTTTATTAAAGATCTGAGCCAGAAGCAAAAAGAAATGTTATTTTCAAGATACACAGGCATGATTTAGAAGTCTCCATTTCATAGAGATTGGGAAGAAAGAAAGAACAAAACATCTTATTAATAAGATATAAAAGTTAAGACGAGAAACCTGGAAGCAGATATGCCGGATGAATCAAGGCTTTTCTAGTTACCAGCCATGTAGGCTTAGGCAAATTACTTGATTTCACTAAAACTCATCTTTCTGATCTGAAAAATGAAATTAACTGATGTCATTCTGATGACTGAGATTATGGACTTTGTGAACTGTAAAGCTCTTTATAAAATTATAGTGCTTGGCACATAGAAGACACTCAGTAAATGCTGAATGAATGAATAAAAAAGTGAACAAATCTAGGTAGCAACAGTCTAGTCTTTTTTTTTTTTTAAGTCATTTCTTATCACTAATATGAAGAGAACAGGCTACAACTGCCCACTGGTAAACATCTTTTTTGAAGGAGATACCAACACATGTTTAGAGAAAGAATGTGGCTCATTATCTCAGATAATTCTCTGAGAATTTCTGCTTGAATACTTACAAGCAAACTTATAAAAGGTATTTTTAGTGTTAAAAACTTGTCGTTGTGTTCAGCAGTCTTAAATTTTTGAAAAAAACGGAAAGCAAAAATGTATGTACCACAACCTTCAACTACTGTTTTGTTTTAGTAACTTCTTTTTCTTATGAAAACGACTAACCACATTTAGAATAAAAATGAACACAAATCTACAAAA
This sequence comes from Homo sapiens, assembly GCF_000001405.40. Taxonomy (NCBI): domain Eukaryota; kingdom Metazoa; phylum Chordata; class Mammalia; order Primates; family Hominidae; genus Homo; species Homo sapiens. The sequence continues at coordinate 80,669,347 of NC_000023.11, forward strand.
GTAAAAGGATTACTTGGTAATTTCATGACTATGAGGATATCATGGGCATATTTTTTGCTCTATAGGGTCAGACTAGACAAAAACACTTGTTTTATAAACAATACTGAATCTAATTTATAAATTAAACGTACGGAAATAATTCAGAACTACCAGCACTTCATTATTAATATTTTAGATGAATAATACTCAAGGGTAACAAAACAGTACTTTTCAAATGATCTATTACACAATTTGTTATGCAAATTTCATTTAAACATATTGTAAGCTTTTTTTTAAAAGCCAAGGGAGGAGGGAACACGTTAGCAGTTTCCTTGACTTAAATTACTTAACAGACTATACAAAATTGCCAATACAAATTAACATGTTGTTATACAAATTCTAACTAGAATTGCAACATGACAAAAATCAACCACAAAAATCCTTAAAAATGAATAAGCTCCATCAATTAATATTAGTCACCTAAATTAAAGAATTTAAAATGTTTTTATTTCTTCATATATTTACTTACAAAACTTATAAAATTGAAGAGAACTGCAAAGATGCTGACCAGGCAAGGTGGCAATTCAAAATTAATACTAGATTCAGAAAGACTTTTAGGTCTCCAACATCAAATTAAATATCAATTTGTTAATTAATAACTGTTAAAACTAGATGTCTAGAATAATTAAAATTATAAGATTTTATAATTATAATTAGATGTTTATAATCTGTAGATAAGAACTTCATTAAGGCAATTGTCACAGATGGCAAAGAAAAATCTATTAAAGTTACATAGAAAGGAAAGGAAAATGTTTCCCTAGAACTTTGGGGGAAAAATCGATACCGTAAAAAGTTTACTTCATTTAATATTATTGTTTGATCTACCTGTGTTTTGTAGCATTAAAAAGCCCTTAAGTATTTATATAAATGACCTGAGAAAGCAACTGTAAGCGTATAGGCTTAACTATCCCACCAAAAATCTCATTCAAAAGATCAACTCACAGGCTCAATATATTGGTTTTATTTTGCACATTTTGGTAAAGTAGCTTTAAATTGTCAAGAACATATAATTGAGAGAGGATGGAGAGCACCTTTTTCTTGACCTTCTCAACTTGGAAAAAAAATGGATCCCCAGGCTGGAGTGCAGTGGCATGATCACAGCTCACTGCAGCCTTGACCTCCCAGGCTCGAGTGATCCTCCCACCTGTCTCCCAAGTACCTGGGACTTACAGGCACACACAACCATGCCCAGCTAATTAAAAAAAAAATTGTTTTGTAGATACGGTGTCTCACTATGCTGCCCAGGCTGGTCTTGAACTCCTGGGCTCAAATAATCCTCCCACCATGGCTTCCCAAAATGCTGAGATTATAAACGTGAGTCACTGTGCCTGGCCTTAACCAAAAATTTTTAATGTAAGATTTTTATATCCTTAAAGAGGGCTATCTCTAACCAATTAAGCAACTAAACAAAAATACCAAACAACTTATCTCCACTTCAATCTCTGAATATTGTAAAAAATCAGTCTACTTTTTTCCTAAATGCATTTTTTTTATTCTAAATACACAAAATACACAGTATATATATATCAAAGATACAGTCCAGTCTTTGGCCAGCTTATTTATCTTGAACCTAGTGGAATGTTTGCCACTGGGAGACAAATTCTGGGTAACTATATAGTTATGAATGTTCCTGTTAGAGCATTCAGATCATCTCACCTCACTTCTCTCTCTCCTACACTTACACTGAATTAAAGCACCATTTACAATGTAGGTAATCTTACTATACATTTTAAAATGTCAGGTACATATAACTCAGCTGTTAAAAGTTGTAAGTCATAAATATGTTAGAGATCTATTCATTTTGAAAAGCTCTGCAAAACAAAATGTTGACAAATGCTTTGCAGGCTGTTATTGAATGCACCAAGCAGCCCACATTTAAAGTGTAAACATCATATTTATTATCCTAAAAGTGACCCAAAGAATATTTGCAATGTCTAAGATGAAAACAAAAAACAAAACCTTTTCTTTGATAGGAAGAAGCATCCTAGTTTCTCAGATTAAAAAGTAATAGTAATAAAATATTCTATGACAAAGAAACAAGAAAGACCTAAGAGTTACATGTTACAATCTCTAAAGCTGAATAGGTAACTCCATATTTCTTTCTTCTGGTTAATTTTTCTCTGGTACATAAATTAAGGCATAAAGCAGCAAGAGTGCAATTGATTCCAAACAACTTGGAATTTTATTGTAAACATCCCATAAAGAATGGCAACAAATTAGTCCAGTTTTTTTGTCTTTGAAGATAATTGCTTATAATGACTGATAACTGCCAAACAAAACATCTTTTATAAATCAAGCCAGTTTATATTACCTTTTTTACTGAATTTTAGTTTAACGGACATTTTGCCCATATACAATATCATATCAACTATGAACTGATTTTCCATCTTAAAATGTATGGATACCAAGAACAAAAAAAAGGTACAGTTATGTTAATACTGTGTAAGACATTACAAAAGACAAGAATGATAAGTTACAGGACAAAGAAATAAATTACTGATTGCCATCACCACAGTATTGTTTAAGAATTAACATTTGTAGTACTGCCTAATGTGTATCTGGTGACATATGCAAAAACACATTTCCCAACTGGATTTCTAAATATTTTTGCATATCATTTTAAAATTCAATTACCAATGGTGGTTTCATTATGTATCAATAGTCTTATTTTTTAAGAAAATACTTATCATGCTTTTATATGTCAAAGTCTCACATTCTAGATTTAATTTAGAAGAAATGGGCATACATGTAAATAAACAAACACAACTTAATTCTAAACTGCAGGGCCTTTCTACTGTACTTCTCCCATCAATGAATCAAAAATTGCCAATCTTAAGTGTGGTAAATTAGGTGCAGTTTTCATGGCAGAAAGAAAAGTGAGGATAAAAGTAAGCAGGATTGAAAAGATGAAAAAAGAAATAATCAAGAATAAGGGTATATAGGCCGGGCACGGTGGCTCATGCCTGTAATCCCAGCACTTTGGGAGGCCGAGGTGAGGAAGGAAGGAAGGAGGGAAGGAAGAGAGGGAGGGAGGGAGGGGGGAGGGAGGAATGAAGGAATGAAGGAAGAAGGAAGGAGAAAAGAAAAAAGAAAGAAACCTGAGTGCTACCCATATTCCACAAAATATAGCACCGTGAAAAAACTTAATTTTATATTGCAATTTAATCAAAACTTGGTAAAGAAGCTTTGCTAAAAGATGAGAAACAAAAAAGCATGAAAATACTTTCACACTAGTTTTTGAAATAAGCCATAAAAGTGACTTTAGAATATTCTATTTCTGATAAACCTTTCATAAAGCCTCACGTTCCACAAAAATATTGGGGATGGGGTTAGCATTTAAAACAATGGACTTTACATGTCGAAAGTTCCATCCCTTCCCCTAGAACTATTCATCACAGAACTCAAAATGTTACTGTAATTGTTTAAAAGGCTGGACAGCAAAGTATACTGAAAATTATATATGATGCAAGTCTCCCTTTTATGGATGTGAAAATTCCAACTTGAAGATAAGTACCAGTTGGTAAATGTACATAAAATGATTTCCAACATACATCAGCTGTAAAAGGTGTTTAATTCCCCATTACCACAAACATACAAATTTTTGAAAAATGCTCAAAAAAGTTTTATCAAAAAGTTAGAAGTGGCATTTATATCTTTCTCTCTCAATCACTCTATTATTGTCTGATGACAATCTATGGGATTAAAACAAAAACAACAAAAAGATAAATAACAGAAACGTACTTAAAAGTATTAGAAGGCTGAGTTAAATATCTGAGCGCACAGTTGTGCAGAATGAGATTTCTAATTTTACTCAGTTACTTTGTTACTTTGCATCTGCGGGAAACAAAGTATTATAGAGAAGAATTCCAACACAAGCCTGATTTCTGGGGAGGGAAAAAAAAGAAAAAAAATTAAAAAGGGAAATAAAAAGAATAGAGGGACACAGGTATATGACAAAACCTGGACTGGTTATCTAGAAGGCATAATGAATGATCAAGCAGTAAATATACAGGCTAAGAGCTGTAGAGAGGCAAAAAGTTGGCAGACTGTCCTCCATACAAAATGTTCTCTTTTTTTGAATGTCTGAGATAAGGTGTGTCAAGTTGGGGAAAAAACTTTACACACATACAAGTGCACAAACACACATATACAAAAATTTAGTAAGTAGGCTAGTAGGCTAGTGAATGTTTTAGAGAGCATCCTATTGCTGAAAGAGAAACACACAGTAAGCCATAGAAGAAACACACAATTCAGATTTTATAAATATATACACACACTAAGATCTTAAAGCTGGGAATTTAAACATTATTAGCATTTATGAGAAATATTACAGCTCACTGACTATTCATATCTAGCATAGGATTAGGTTTATACATGTATATGCTCTCACGGGCCTAAATATAACAGTGTTTTTTCTTAGCAATTTAAGATTTAGGCTTTTCTTCAAAATTCTTTGTTCATTTTGTACTTGCTTTGCTATGGCTGGACCCAGATTTTACGTAGGTTTAAAGGGCCTCAAAGAAATTAAAATGATAAAGTAATCAATGTGATACTAATTACAACACATTCACAGGAGGTGGTATTACAAGAAAGCAAAGTGTAAATTGGGGGAAAAAAAAGTCCAGATATAAAAGTAAAAATACTATCTTCCAAACTTTTATTTTCACACTTATTAAAATAATTTGCATGCAAACAGAAAATTATCTGTTTGTTTAATAAATGATAACTATGTTTATCTAACATACCCTGATGACTAACTCTTTAAATCTTAATAACTGAAATAAACATTACAGCAAAATGCTGTTCACTAATATTTTCACAGTATTTCACTACATATAAAATATGCTTTAAAATGTCTTCAGCCTTATTATTCTAATTATCTAATTCTAGAAAATCTTGACATTTGGGAAATAAATGTGGCATTTTTATTTTTCAAAATAAATTATAAATAAAGCTCCAGATAGCCAAAATCACACAAATGTCAATTCTTCTACATTTCAAGAGGTCAGCTCTTCATAGAAGAATGTCAACAAAAAATTTCAAACTAAAATGATACATGTGATCCATATTTGGGTATATCCAGGAATTTAAGTAACTATGTTACTTAGATCAGGATAAGCCAAAGTATTATTGATTTCAGGAATACAGGCACAATTTAGTCTAAATGCCCAAGAGATAAATAACCGAAACAGCACATTTTAGCAAAAATCAAATGTAGTTTCAAATAGGAACGTTTTGAATCTCTACTATGGTTTAAAGTGGCAGCTGAGTTACAACCAGAAGTAGTTTTGGTTTAGTGAAAAAAAGACTACAACAAAAAAATAGCTTGGTCTGCTGTCTAGTAACAGAAGTTAGTGCCATTAACAATTCACAATACTTTCTCTTAAAGCCTGAACATCATTTCCACTGCAAGTGAAAACTGCTTAAAGATGTTAGTCCAAGAATAACCCTACTGCCGACCCTACCAAAAAAGCAAAGTTTTATGTGTGTACGCCTTCCTCTGCACTTAAGGGTTTTCAGATGCATGAAATGATTGAAAGCATGAGACAAACACATTAGCTTAAGAAATATCCTGGGATAGCTAGGTATATACTAAGAAGTCTGTTTTATCCCATGAGCCTGATCTAAGTGCAACAAATTTGCTGTTACAGAAACAGAAATTGCTATTATCCCTCTTACCTCAGAAATGTAAGTATCTAACAAATGAACAAATCTGTAATATTAAATTTGGGGAGTAAAACTGACCTTGGAACTCAAGCTCACTTATGGAACCATGTGCACTCTACTGCTGTAAACAAGACAATAAGGGTTTTTAAAGATGTTTTTTATCTATAAAATAATGATTCACAACATGAGTGTGCAGTGCAATAAGGTTCTTTCCTGAAAGACTAGAACAGAAGAACCCTTTGGAATGATATGAGCAGAATCTATAAGTTGATTCATAATACTAGCTAGCCAAAACATTCCAAATCAAACCAGGTGCTTTGTTAAATTTTAAGATTCAAATGAAAACCAGCAACTCACAGCTGTTAAATGGTAAGTGGAGCAGAAATATATAAGCAGTAGCCCAAGTCTACTTACACAAATATGTTCTAAGAAAGCCTAAGGTGGTAGAGCATACTATATTTATGAAACTTTGTTAATTACAATTATTAATTTGAGAGCCAATACAATTATTAACAACCTCTCAGCTTATAACTTATGGGGTATTCATTCCTACTAAGCTTGTTCTATTTCTCCTTAGTCAGTAAGGAATAACAGCATCTATTTTCCTTAATGTTTCCAGTAGTTGTAGTTAAGAGGTAGCTGAGCTACTGTTCAAAGAAGTTGTTCTTTGTGGATGAGGATTTTTCAAATGTTTAAGTTATTTAAGCTACACAAATTCTATTAATGCAATAAAATGTGATAGGAAAAAAATTGATGCGGGAAACTTTTGCATTTGGCACCTTGTCTAGATTGATACCTCAAGTATTCTTTTTTAATAAAGTTAATGCACACATCAGAACACACCACGAAGATCTGCTACATATTTACAAGGCACCAACCCTTTCTCACCTTTAACGTGAATTATGCAAATCAATGAAAAGCATATCAAGATCCCCCCACCCCCCAAAAAACTGTAGTATAAATATATACTTCAGTTCAGTACAAGTCATGAAAGTTTGGCCTGGGAAGAGTAAAATAATCCAGATCGCTCTTACAATATAGAAACTGTAAACATTTAATAGCTGCCTTTAGGATTGGTGTATTGTGCAAAAGTTATTATTACTGGGTATAGGAATCAAAATGGCAAAAACAAACTATATAAAACTCTGTAAGAAGGTGCTATACTTCTGTGATACAAAAGCAAAAGAGGGCTATTCTATTGAGATAAAAATGTCATGCTACTCTTAAGAAGCTGAATGCTCCTTTAATGTAGTAAATCTGTAGTGTCTGTGTTGTGTTTCGTGTGTGTGTGTCTGTGTGTGTGTATGTGTGTGTATGTGTTTGTGTGTGTGTGGGCAGAATTTCTTTTAATTTAAGGCCTAATGAGTAAGGCTTATTTGAACAAATGAAGTGTGGAGATCAAAAGTCTTGAAACAAATGTATACTGGCATAAATGGAAAAGCACCAATGTGAAAGGAAGCAGAAGTCCCCACACAACTTGCTTTGTAGATTTCCTGGTAAATTCCCTGCAGTAGAAGGCCATTGAATTTTTTAAGTTATTCTAAATTTATTAACTGTTAATAATTCCATCCCATGAGATGGCTAACCCTGGCTTTTTCTGTCATTTTACGCACTCTGCCTGATCTGGATGTACCAAGATTCAGAGGATCCTCAGTGGACACAAAATTGTCATTATCAGAATCATCATTATATAAAACAGTCCTCCTGCCTTGGTTTCTTGTTTTAATTCGAGGCAGTCTACTGAAACGTCCTGAAAACATGGTATCAAATTCATCATCTGCAATACGTGCTCGTTTGGCTCTGGTAGCTCCTCTAGAAGCACCTCTTCCTCCTCTCCCTCTTCCCCTCCCCCTAGTGCCACCTCCACCTCTTCCTCGACTCCCTCGTCCCCTGCCTCCTCTTCCTCTGCCTCCTCTACTCCATCTACCCCATCTTCCCCATCTGCCTCTTCCTCCTGTGCCTCTGGTCTTCCAATTTCTTTTTCCATTGCCATGTTGCTTTCTGAGTTTTCTTTTAGGTCTGGTTTGTATGAATTTGCTATAATCATGGTCTCCATCTACGTAATCTTGATCTGTTCTGGAAGTTGATTCAGAGTCAGAGTCAGAACCACAGGTACTTTCAGAACTTAAACTGGATCCTAACTCTCCACTCTCTGAGGTGGATAAATGAGATTTCTCTTTTGTTTCTTTTTTCTCTTTATCTTCTCCTCCCATGTTTTCATCTTCTTCTGATGCACTAAGTAGTTTTCTCTTGATTCCTGTCCGGGGCTCTCTGCCATCACCATTTGTAAGGGGTCCATCAAGGGAGTGATCTAAATTAAAATGAATGATTTTTAATAGTTAAGCTTTGACATTGACAAAATGGTTATTTAGGTTCAAAAACAGTCTACAGTTCCCAAAAATATGTGGAATACAATCATGGAGGGTGTCAGACTAAGAACTTAAATTTCTTCAAAATAGAAGATATTAAAGTGTTTATTTTTGTCTGCTTTTTTGGGAGAGGGAGGAGAATATGGGGGTGGAATGATGGCCATGAGGTTTAGGCAGAAGTTTTAAGGGCCTACTTCAGGAAGAATTACCTGAGAACACTAATTAGTATAGTTTCATTCATTCGGTTGATAAATTCTTATTCATTATCTACTATTAGCAAGGCATTGCTAGAAGCTTTGAATACGGCAATGAAAGGGACAGTCCTTGCTGTTGGAATTTATATTTTAGTGGGAATACCTTGAAAGATAACAAAGTGAATAAATTAATAATAAAATTTCACACAGACATGTTATAAAGAGGATTAAAAAAAGAGTGTATATGTGTAGAAGGGAATGTATTTTAGATAGGGAAGACTTCTCTACAGAGGTAGTATTAGAAGAAATAACTGAATGAAGTCAGATGTAGGGAAAGAACATTCCAGAGGAGGGAACAGAAAGCAAGCCAGTATAACCAGAGTGGAATAGAAAAACAGTGAGTAGTAGGAGATGAGTGCCAGTGGAGAGTTTTAAGCTGGAGAAAGAATCTGATTTACACTTTTAAAATAGTATGGTTGCTGTATATAAAAAAGATCACAGGGGAGGCAAGACTGAAAGTGGAAGGAGAGACCAGTTGGGCATCCACTGCAGTATTCTAGGTAAGACATGACAAAGGATATGTCAATAGATGTGATGATAAGTGATTATATTTGGAATATTTCCTTCTAGAGAAACCTTTAATTTCAAAGGTTGAACTGATGGGACTTGCTGACAGACTATATGTCAAGTGTCAAGCACAGAATGAAGACTGACTCCTAGGTTTTATGGCCAAAGCAACTGGGTGAATGGTAGAGATATTTTGCCAAGGTAGAGAACACTGAAGGAGCAACAGGTTTGAGCAGGGCTCAAGATTCCATTTTAGATGTTGACAGAGATCCAAGACAAGACATTTTTTTAAAAAAAAGAAATAAAGAGCAGGTAGATATACCAGTCTGGAGCTCAGGGGAGAGGGTAGAGCTGGAGATATAATTGCGGAAATTTTCAGTAAAGAGATAATATTTAGGGTAATGAGAACTAGGAGAGCTCACTGAGTGAGTAAGTAAAGAGAGACAACGTGGCTGAAGACTGAGACTTGAGATGTTCAAACATTTAAAGATAAAGAAGAACCAACAAAGAAAATGGAGGACCAGCCAGTGGGGTCGGTAGGAAACAAGAGAGCAGACTGGAAGAATTGAAAAGAAGACTAGGGCTGTAGATAATTACAAGATTAACCTAATAAGTCTGGGTGTTATGGACTGAATTGTGTCCCTTCAAAATTCATATGTGGAAGCCCTAATCCCCGAAGTGACTGCAGTTGGAGATTAGGGCATTTAGGGAGGTAATTAAGGTTAAATGAGGTTATATGGGTGGGACTATAACTCAACAGGACTGATGTTCTTAAAGGAAAAGGAAGAGATACTAGAGGTATTTCCCTCTGTCTCTCTGTAGAGGCAAGGCCACGTGAGGACAAAGCAAGAAGGTGGACATATAGAAGCCAGGGAAAAAGCCCTTATCAGATACCCACCCATATGGCACTTTCACAATGGACTGAGCCTCCAGCTCTGTGAGAAGATGAATGTCTGCTGTTTAAGCCACCCAGTCTGTGGTATCTTGTTATGGAAACCCAAGCTGACTAATACTTCAGGCTGGAGACTAAGGTGATAGCAGTAGAAACTATATAGAAGATTTAAGTGGTATTAAAGAGTTGTGGAATCCACAAAACTTGGCAACTGACTAGGTATGAGGGATAAATGAAGAGTCAAAAAACACTGTGAGATTTTAAGCTGGGTGGCAAGAAAGATGGTTATGCCATTAACTAAAATAGTGAGCACAGAAAAAGAAGCAAGTTTGAGATGCGAAGATAAGCAACCGAATATTTTTATTTTTTTATTTTTTAAGGAAGCACTTGGAAATTATTCTAATAGAATAAAGAGATATTTAAGCTCTGCATATGCATTTGGAGAGTCATCACATCAAGATGACGGATGCAGTCATTAGAATCCTTTATTTGTGGAAGACAAAAACAAGCAAAAAACAGTGGCAAACTGCAAATACAGAGCAGTAGAGTCAAAGAGAAGAAACAGAAATAAGAGATATAAGCTAATCAATAGAGTATAGAAGCTTACAAGTAGAGTTCATAGAGAAGGTAGTCAACAACATGCAATGATATAGAGATTGAAACTAAAAAAAGACGCTAGTTGGCCACTGAAGAGTACTGATGAATGTGAGAACAGCTTTTGAAGGGTGGTCGGGACAGACACCGTACTATAAAGGATAAACGACTCTGTGGATGGGAAAAACAAAATAGATGAAGGAAGCATGGGTTAATCTTGGCAGTGGAAGGAAGGGTAAAATGAAAAAAGGCAATGGCATAAGTATGCAAGATCAGAGGAGACACTAAAGATGTAAACTGGGAAAAACAAAGGCACTAATTATTTTCAAGTAATCAAATATGTTTCAACATTTCTTACATAGCCACTATAAAATATCTTCAGAAAAGCCTATTTTTAAGTTATTTGATGGTTAAATAACAATGGATAAGCTACTTAATCTTGCATTAAAATGTATATAAAATAAAATCTATATTCTAATAAAATTATTTGTAAAAGCATATTAACTATTCTTCACAAACTTCAAATAGCTGAACATGTTAGAACTTTCTCTAAATACATTCAAGGTCCCTAATATAGGCCTAAGTATAAGAAGAAAGTTTGAGTAACAATAAACTTCAAATATTTATGATAATTGATGTCCCTTGTATGGTCCAAGATAGACGCACATAATGAATTAGGTCAGTGTTTCTTTTTAAGCAGTGAACATTTTTCTCCTAATAAAAAGTAAAATAGCATCTCCTTATATGAAATAACAAACAGAACTGTCTGGTTAAATGCAGAAGGTTCTTCTGAGAATGCCTGAAGTACTTTTGTGGATGCCCCAGAAATGGGCAGGGCACAGTCTGAAAACCACTGACTTTGTGATATAGCAGGCCCCTAAGGAAGAGGATATCTGACTTACATAACTGGAAAACCTTAAGGAAGGTGGTAGAAGCGGTTATTGACTGAAAGAAGGCTCATTTCTCAGCCCAGACTCATATTTTTACTGCAGTGGGCCACAAAAATATGAGACCTATTTAAAGATGACTTTGGAAACTCTCCTTTCTTATTAATATGAAAAATATGAAAAATCCTAAATGTGTCTTCATGTGCTTGGGGAAAGAACTCTTCATTTAGTTTTTTTCTCCCAATTCCTTTTATTTTATTTATTTATTTTTGAGACAGAGTCTCACTCTGTCACACGGGCTGGAGTGCAGTGGCACAATCACAGCTCACTGTAGTCTCCTACTCCTGGCTAAAGCGCTCCTCCCACCTCAGCTTCCCGAGTAGGTATGAGTTGTATGCCACCACATGTGGCTACTTTTTTTTTTTTTTTTTTTTTGTAGAGATTAGGTCTTGCTTTGTTGTCCAGGTTGATCTCGATCTCCTGGCCTCAAGTGATCCTCCCACCTCAGCTTCCTAAAGTGCTGGGATTACAGGTGTGAGCCACCACGCCTGGCCCCATTTTACGTTTTAAGACTAAAATACATTTGAAAATAGCTATTGGAAATCTGCTAATGGCCTGTTCCCAGTTATGAATATGAAATGCCATCTGACTCATATGTGACAGAATTCTCATTAACTATAAGGATATACTAGTTTTTAGTATGTCAACATGTCAGCTTTTAAATGATTTATCTGCTATCATAAAGAAATAAATAATAAATGTCTTGTCCTGTATTTATTTCCTACCTTGTTTAACTGGCAAAACTCTATTCCGAAATGATTTGGCTTTCCCTGGGTCATGGCTATTTCCACTTCGGCTATATCCACCGAAGCTCGATGAAGAAAATGGCCCATCTGGCTCATCATCAAGTAGATATAGTGAAAGCCCTTCAGCAGCATCTGAAACTTACATTTTAAAAGATTTTAATACTAACATAATTATCATGTTTTCAGGAAAGTTAAACAGGCTACTTTTTGAAACCATATCTCTGTTATTTTATTCTAACACCAAAATTATAAGTTTCTCTAAGAAAATGATATGAATATTTTGAGAACAAAGGGTTGAATGTCAGAAAAACTTGTCCAATTGCTCATCATAAATTTTCAAATATTATGTTGGTAAATATATTGTAGATAAGTGCTCTGAGATATTATAGGCATCATTTAATCATAAAATTTTAAAACTAAGAGACTTTTCATGTAGTCTAATAAAGAAAAGGAATCATATGGCCTAATGTCATACTCAGGGACACAAAACTAGCAAGTAGAATTGGGAATAAAGCACAACTTTTAAAAATCTAAATCCATTGTTCTTTGCACTATAAACCATGCTGCCTCTTCTATATCCTTAATATCAGAATTAAACCGAGATGCAGAACACCAAAAACAAAAGACATATTTACCAGGAGATGAGAAAGGAGAGCTAGTCCTGGCATGAGATACTGAGGTATTCTGGTCATTTTTAGGCTGCAACTTCATTTGTTTCTGCTTCCCTTTTGGACTAGAAGTAAAAATATGTAACAACGAGCATTTTTTTTTTTCTGTTAGCAACATATTATGATAGACAGTATGATACAAAGAGGTATCAAGGTCAGGTATTAGCTGGCCAAAGAAGAAATGCCCTAAAATTCATGAAATAGATAATTTGACAGTGAAACTTCAATCATTAAAATTTAAAAAAAGTTTCTGGGATAGTAAAACCCACATAAATAGTACTTTTGATTACTAACTCTACATAGGCATAAGAGTTTAGGAAACAAACAAAAAAAGACCTCTTGGGATCTCCCCAAATTATTCATAAACTTTCACAAATTAGGTAATACATACAAAATGCTTTGAGAACAAAAAATGTTGCATCAATGTAATGATACCTAGGTGCTCCACTACTAGATAATGAACTGCTGCTGCTTCTTAGACGTTTTCTGTACCGTGGCCTTCTCCTCTTCTGACTCTGGATTGCTGACTTATATTCAGAGATGATATTTTTGATATGACTTTCAAATAAGGCAGATAATCGCAGCATCATGCTATAGATCTGAGAAGGCAGAAATTATATAGTCTTAACTAGTTTTATATTTTAAAAAAAGGTATAAACATGCCTAGACCAATATTAAGCATCATCATTACAGACAAAATATCTGTTCACTTGAAAAATTCTTCTCAAATAACTAAAGTAAGATACCATTTTCACCTAAAATAAATGTTTTTCAAATATAGTATTCAATGTTCTAAAAGGTAGGGAAAAAAAGACTCTGATACAATGCAAGAGAGAATGTAAACTGAAACAGCATTCTAAAGGACAATATGCAGTCTGTACAAAAAAACCTTAAAGATACACACATCCTTTGGCTAGTAATTTTACTTCTGGGAATTTGTCCTAAGGAAATATCACAGAATTATATACATAAAAAATATATTCAATAATGTTAAAGATATTACCTATAGCATTATTCATGTAAAATGGATAACTGGAAACAACCTAAATCCCTAGCCAAAGAACACTGGTTAGTATAACATAAAACAACCACACAACAGAATACCATTAAAAACCTTGTTTTCAAAGAGTCATGAGATACAGGAAAACATTCATAACACTTAAGTAACAAAAAATGCTTCAAAATACGAAATCCACTATTTTAAAGAATTTATAAGCATATGTAGATATATGTGTTAATGTAGAAAATCCTGGAAGTAAACAGTAACTGTAAGTAAAAATAGGTGATAGGTTTCACAGGTGATTTTTGTTTTCTTCTTTATACTTCTGTGTTTCCCAAACTTTCTATAGAAAATGTTACTCTAGCAATCAGGATCAAGGGGGAGGGGGAAGCAAGTGTAAACAAATTATGTTTGCAGAAATTAGTGGAAATGCATTTTCCATAAAGTGGAAGTAGGCAAATATATATTTACTGTGCAACTGATTAAAAGCTAATCAGATACCAGTGATTTCAAAAGAAAAACTTGATTACTATTTTTCTATTCTCAATATACTTTAAGTTCTGACAAAAATAGGGAAGATATTAAATGTGAGTATAAATAAGCAGTTACAACTTCCCAAGATGGTTCATTATTTGTTAGAATAAATGGAACATACATGTTCAGAGCTAATAAAAATATTTCACATAAATCAACACTGTCAATCACCTTTCTATTTATTAAGTCACTTATTATATTAAAGTGTACTTAAATTACTACCTCTCCTCTCCTTGTTTTTTCTCTGGTACCTATAAATATTTATTACTAAAGAGTAAAGAGACAAATAAGAGAAAGGAAAAGGTGGTTAATTTCAGAATGACTGCTAAATGTATCTTTATGCATGCCTAACAAGCAATCCATGTTTCAAAAAAGATACTGAGGACCAATTTTCAGTAACTGGTTAAAGAAAACTGCCTGATAATTAACCCAACTAATAATCATACCCTTGACTTTTTATTAGAGGTATAAGCTTTGGAGTTGTTGAATATTTGGCGAACATCCTTATAAAATTCCAGAGGACTACCATAGTTTCCTGCTTCCAAAGTTTCTTTCACAGTGCTGAAGTCCACAGGAGTATCTATAACATCTTGATAATCCTACAAAGAAGAATGTGTTATTAAATACTGTATAGCAATATTAAGGAATACAATGGGACTAAAATTGGTATCACCTACTACGATCCACCATGAAATAAACACATTGCTTTTCAATGTGCCAACTACCTCCCCACAACCCCAAAACATCTTTTGGTGGCTCATAAAAACAGCATAAGTCTGTGGGAAAGCCTTAGCCCTCACACCACAGTAATAACCGTAAATAACTATGAAGGTAAAGAATAGAAAATCCATAGCCGTTGGCTTCATCTCTACAGCTTCCATGTCTTGCTTAAAGGCTGATACAACCTCCAAAACCCCAGCACACTGTTTAATGATAAAAGATGGGATTATTCACATATGATTAAATTGTTCCACTCTACAAATTAGGCACATATTTCCACGATTCCTTGCTATGAGAACATTCTACTTAAGTGTCATTAGTTAAGGGTCAGGGTCAAATTGGTCATGTTTGTGCCTTTCTCCTTCTTGATTTTAAATCAATGTGATACCTTTGCTTCATCGAAGGTCTTCCATCTTATAGGTCCATAATTCATTTGATTTTGATTAGGGAAGAGGAAAGATTTCATTTTAACCTAAATCCAGTAAAGATTTTCCTAGGGTTATCAGATGGAGTTACATCTGATATTTAATTCCTATATATGCTACAAGCCTCAAAAACAAGTTTCAGAGTGAAAACCATACTCAGTATTAGATCCCTTATTGTATTTAGAATCATCAAGAAGTAAAATCTCCACATTTCCCTCCTAGGAAAAAGCCAAAAAGCCAGAAGGGGCAGATAAATGGTATTATAAAAAGAGAGAAAATATTTTTCAAAGTATGAGAAGAAATGACAAACGTTCTAAATATATCTTATTTTCTTAAATCATAAAAAAACAGAAGTATATTCTAACACAGTATGGCTTATGTTAGAACTTGTGTAGTATGATGACCAAAATTTAAAAGACTCAGACTGCTTGCTGAATGAAGTCCCAGTGGGAATAATCAGCTGCAATACAGACACAATTATATTGTGTAATTGATGTTTTCTACTCTGCTGCAGTAGCTTCAGATCTACATAAAAAAGTAAACATTTACAAGGAGGATACAAAGAACAGTCTTGAGAACACATGTTGATTCAGAAAGAGGAACAAAAAAATAAATGACCAAAAAATCAAACAAAGGTAAAAAGGGGAGCAGAGTTAGAAGGCAGTCCTTACAAACTATAAGATTCATGTACAGTATGGAGAGTTTAGAAAGTAAAAACAATCAATATGTCTTTTAAGAGACTACCAGGCCTACCTCAGAAAGAGATGAATCTTGTTGTCTTTCTGGAACAACAGACTCTGAGGATTCTCCCTCTTGCTCCTGATGACCCTATTAGGGTGAAGAACATATACTGGTTTCCAGACAACTATAACAAAATATCAAGACGTGTAATACAATTATGACTTAAGTCTCAAAGATCCATACACTGGAATCATGTTTTATCGGCTGTACTTTAAGGTGAAGGAATTGTACATTCGTCATTCTCCTTTGCTATGAAAAACACAAGACTAATTTATTTTACCCAAATTCCCTACAAGCAAACAAGTTCTGTTGAACACAATCTCGTTCCTTACTTGAATGATATTTTTTCCCAACTGAGACCTACAGTATACAGAGAAGACCAATGTGTAGTAAGCTCATAGGACGGTCTGATGTATTTCTAAAATAGTGCTGTACCTCTTCTCTGAGAAAGTTAAAATAGATTTGCTATCTATACTACTTCAATGAATAGATACACTCCCAGGAAAGAAATCCTACAATCAAAGTTCTCATCCTTTTACCTTTATTGAAAAGAAAAGTCCCTACAAAGGACATGAACTCATAATTTTTTATGGCTGCATAGTATTCCATGGTGTATATGTGCCACATTTTCTTAATCCAGTCTATCATTGTTGGACATTTGGGTTGGGACATGGATGAAGCTGGAAACCATCATTCTCAGCAAACTATCTCAAGGACAAAAAACCAAACACCGCATGTTCTCACGCATAGGTGGGAATTGAACAATGAGAACACTTGAACACAGGAAGGGGAACATCACACACCGGAGCCTGTTGGGGGTTGGGGGAGGGGGGAGGGATAGCATTAGGAGATATACCTAATGTAAATGACGAGTTAATGGGTGCAGCACACCAACACACCAACATGGCATATGTATACGTATGTAACAAACCTGCACGTTGTGCACATGTACCCTAGAACTTAAAGTATAATAAAATATATATATATATATAAATTAAAAAAAAGTAAAGAAAAGAAAAGTCATACTGGTATACTGGTTACTCTAAGTGGCCATATTGATAACACATTCAGTATAAATTACACAGGATTGACATGTCACCAAACATCTACAGTGTACAGAGGTGTATTCGAGGTTAGTAAAATGTATTAAATAAACGTCTGAAATAAAAGTCGGAAAGAACAGCAAATGAATTCTGATTTAAATTTTTGTTTTACAACTGTATAATTTACACACTGAAGACACAATTACATTTTTTTAAAAATCACACTAATCACACTACTACTTTCACAATCAAAAGACTGGAAAAAAAGAAAGGAAAGGAGAGGTGAGAAAATTGCTCTTATCTAGATTTTAGCATGGACATTTATGGGAAATTATCATACTGACAATTATTTAAACAACTGTATGCTTACTGGGTAAGAAAGAAGATCAGCTGGCTGTCGAAATGGCTCCGAGTCTTCACGTTCATAAATGAGGCTCAATAGTTCCTTGCATTGTTTTTTCCAAGCATCAGGATTACACTTTAAAGACTGTCTTCTGCCTCGGCATTTGACCTACAGATTTTAATAGAGTTATATCTAAAAGATCTTTCCTTAACTCAGTTGATTTTCTCATAAGTCCCTAATGTTAATATACCTATCTGTATGTGTGTATATATATATATATATATATATGGCAGCTGCTATTTTAGTTTCTTAGTTTAAATTAGACAGTATTTTCCCTGGCAAAAATAATTAGTGAGCAAAAAAACCTAGACATTATATTCATGGAAATGGCAAGAATTCTAGTACTCAAATCTGAACTTCAAATAATGTACAGAGGAACAAATGCTTCTTTCCTCTACAACATCAAGTTATAGAGCCTTAATATTTGCCGGTAGTTAAGTATACTTGACAATGGCATCATATTTTTCTCAAAAGAACACTTGAATGATTTTTTTTCCCAGAAATCCTTTGTGGTCATGATAAATTCTGTTGTGTACCATTTGATTTTGTTACGATCTCTTTCAGTATTTCAAAATATATTGTCCCTTATATAAAATAACTACATGTCTAATTATTATAGAGCAGAAGTCTGCACAAAAGAGTTAACATAGCAGGCCAGGATTTGCTTGCAAGGTTGGCCCTTGGCTGGCATTTGGGAACTTGGCATTTGAATGGCTTCCTAAATTATTAAGACAGTTTACTGCACCTAGACAGTATAAACAATGTGATTTGTGCTGAATACCTGATTTCCTTCTGGGAATCTGGAATCTTAGTACGTGCTAGTCAGAGGGTACCTACATAACCAGCCCCTAGTAAAATCTTTGGGGACTGAGTCTCTAATCACACACATGCTGGAAAAAGAGTGTAATATGTGACCCCTCACAGGGGAAAGATAATAATAGCATAAGGAAGCCTGTACATAATTTTCTCCAGACTCTGCCTGTGTCTTTTCACCCATGACTCAACTGGGTACCCTTACTGCATCACTCTAATAAATATTATCAATGAGCATACCTAATATACTTAGTTGCAAGAATCCTTCTAGCAATTCTCCAAATATGGGGTTGGTCTTAGGGATCACTGACACAGGAAACCTGAAAACATATCTCCTCAGCAGTTCACTTATTTACTCACCTTTCTTCCAGATGAAGTACCAGGACCGTCTGAATCTAAATCAACAATTTCTGTATCCTTAATTAAAAAGGAAGAGTGGGAAAAGACGTTAAGTTACATTCAAAGTCATATAAATTAGATGGACATTTACAAATAAACGGGAAATAAAATCACAGTTAACTTTCCCCACTGGAGCAGCAAGTAGAACAAAAGATAGAGGGAGACTCACACCAAACTTTCCCAATATGCAGTGTACAAGCTGGAAAATATACTGGAAGAAGAATTAAACAAGGTTTCTCTTTAAACAAGAATCGGAAAGGAGGGGAACAGTGTAGTGGTTGGTATTTGCTAAAATTGTATCTAAGTGTTAGTATTTTTTAAAAACCTTATTCTATATGACATGCTTATTTAATATAAAATTATTAATTATTCATGATTACTCCATTGACATTTCAAGAAATAGGTCTCATATAATATGCATTTATATTTTCCTATAGAAAAGAGATCTATTTCAGTTAAGTATCTCTCTAAGGGATAATTTTTTAATATGAAGAGTCAAGACCCAAGCACCACTAGTGCTGGTGAAACACTGGGTAATATGTAGTAGAAAATAAAAAGTAGCTCATGAGATATTGGTACTCCTTTCTAATAAAATAAAGCTGTTGAGTTACATTTTTACTTAAGTTTTCTATTTTAACCCAAATAGTGCTACTCTGAGGTGAAATTCCTGCTACATCAAATTTCAAACTAAAATATATTTATGTGAAAGGTCAGAGAAAATATAAGGAATATATAAGAAAATATAAAAAAAATTAGTGATACATTTTTCTTAGGTTTTAAGAAACTATAATAATATCTAATTGGTATATCATGTTTTCTTTATTATGTAAGTAACATTTAACTGCAATAATATATTTCATAGTCAGACACATTTTCATGAAAAAAATAAAAAAAAACAGCATTGGAGATTTACCATTCTGGAGATTAACGGTATAAATAATATAAACATGCAAAATATCTCATGCCACTGCAACACAATCTAGCATATGTGAGTCACTCATCCCTGGGATGAATTGTTTTCCAGTAAAGATTTGTGAATTATCACTTTCCAATATTGTTCCAACCTCTATTTTGGTTTTTGTTTCTATCATAACCTCCAGTCAAATACGGCTTTGTGTAAATTAGAAACATAGATGAGTGGGGAAAATCAGGAATACGAGGGTCTGCTGAGTACTACTTCCATTTCATTCAGAAGAGACTGATTTATCTTTATAAATTTTCAGAAAGGAAATCGAGTAATAATTTCATGAAACTACCAAAAATTTAGACTTTCAAGCCTGAAACTTTAAAATACTTTAATATTTTCTATACAGCATATAGAAAATAAAATCCTTACTGAAATTTCCATCAACTAAGCATTCTTTTAAAATATTGAGCACTTGTCTTGTTTCTAAATGTTGGAAAATAAAG
Source organism: Homo sapiens (assembly GCF_000001405.40). Taxonomy (NCBI): domain Eukaryota; kingdom Metazoa; phylum Chordata; class Mammalia; order Primates; family Hominidae; genus Homo; species Homo sapiens. Next base: position 80,689,518 of record NC_000023.11, read on the forward strand.
TGTTGATTTCTCGTCACTTACATCCACTGTGTCAAATATGATGACTGGCCACCTGTCTCTGAATAAACCCTGTAGCTCTATTTTATTTTTGGTATATGCCATCTAAGTACACTTTAAAAGACGCTGGTATTCAGCCAGATTTCAAAAATCTGTTTTGCTGTTCATGGCCAATTACAACATTTACACATAATACTGTACTTCAAATAAGAGAAAAGTAACTCATTCCTACTAATCATGCTGTGATTCTTACCTCCTCTGCATCAGTACTGTTTCGTTCTTCTGCTTTAATTTTATTATAAGTATCCAGTATATCAGTACAGCTCTGATCCCTAAGAAACAAGTCATTTCAAAAGCTTCAGTAATTTTTACAATTTTTCAATTAATTTTTTTAAAATTAATTTTTTAAAAACCTTAAGTTAGACTCTCTGGAAGCTAAAACTGCTTCTTACCCAATAAATCGAAGTAAGACATCAGTTACAATTTTAGCTGCTTTAACTATAGGACTGTCTGGCTCATTGAAAGTCCTGGCATTATGTTCAATATAGCGTACCTCCCACATTAATGCTGATATTCTCCTGTGAAAGAAAAAATACTCTGTTAGCCTTGGCTAATATATTTAAAGTATATTTTAGGAATATACAATATGGAACAAATATGTACTTAAACACAGTGTGTCAAAGGTGTTCCAATATGCATATAACTCAATATATTTGACTGATGAGCACTAAAAAGAGATGATATAGTTACAGTATTTAAAGCACAAGCAGGGATTCTGAACCACTGGAATGTATATACAAAACTTCAAATAGAACTGACCTAGGACATTATAGGTAAAGAGTCATTTGACAAGGTCAAAAGAATGTTTAGTTTAGTTTTCAGGGGAAGAGCCAAGAAGAGCAAGAAAAAAAAACAGATTATAAAAAATGACAGATTTTTATCTAATTACTTTTATGATATAAATATTAAATCAAAATAATATATTATAAAAATACAACCAGTTCTCAATTGCAAAGGCAGATTAACCAGTCATGGAATACTGTCGTCAGTAGGAGACTTGGATGACAGAGGGACCAAGATATGCCCTCTACAACCTTCCCATAATCATCTCTCATCCCAACCAAAACAAAAAAATTACTTGGCTCCTTTCCTGTATATATTTCAGTGCTGGTAACTAAATCTAATTAACTCTGACCAAATTCTCCAACAGAGGATTTAAACATGCTCCAAATTTGTAGCACCTTAATAACGATGAATCCACAAACCACTTAAATTGCCCTTAATAAACTAAAGTTAAATGTAGTTTTTGTTTTACACACCATTTGTACTACCCATATATTCCTCTCAGCCTTTCTTCTCTATCCCCAAGAGTGAGAATCTACTAAATAAAGGGAAATTAATGTTCTAAATTTTTAAAGGAAATTTTGGTGTGGGTCTTTTGGATGATCATGTTATACTATGGAAATGCAGATCTCAAAAAGGAAAGCAAAAGCCATAAAGCTATAAATTTTATAATAAGTGATTAAAAAAAAACAGACCTGTAAAAGCGATTTTCAAGTCTCCGCCTGATGGTATTGAGGTCAGTTGGATAAGCAACTACAGTACAATACAAGGGGTAGGCACTGAGATCCACTGGAACAGCAAAAGGGCTGGCAAAATCTACAAAATTATGAAAATCAAATAAGGTAGCTATAAAGGACATTAACATCTCATGGTAACAAACATTTATTCATATATAAACAAGAAGGGAGGGTGATATACTACTTTTCTAAAACCATGAGGATTCCATTATACAAACAGAACGTTATTCTTTATATTTGGACATCATATCTATGAATCATGCATGATACACTGGTTCAAATCAGGTAAAACAAAATTAGAGGAGCACTGGGTTTAACTTCAGATTTCTGTCTTTCCTAGATAAATGCCAAACTTCTCAAGTGACATGTTTTAGCAAATTTAACTACTCATGTGGGTAAAATACATTACTCATCCACTGTCCTTACCAAGAAACCCATCCAAAGTCAGGCTCAGGAATAGCTAGAGAATCAAAGTGATTCAAAAAGGAAAAAGACACTTACACAGTTACCTTCACTATTATCCCCCAGATTGCTAAACAAAAAATTATCAGTTATTACTTTGGCCAAGCATATAAAACTGCTAATATTAAAACTAGAATCACTGTGCTTCTTGAGTTAAAACTGAAGTGTACAGTGAGAAACTGCATATCCTTCTGTAGAACTTAAAACTTCTGCTGATTTTCCTAGCTCTCTTGCATGCTCCTAAAATTTTTTCACATTCATCATACCCAGGGAAAGAAGGTGGTTGATGCCCTGAATAACCCGTTCACATTCTTCGTCTCTGGAATGAGCCCCCCACTCTCCTTCCTGGGGTTTGTATAGCAAAGCAGTCAATTCTTCCTGGGAGACAGGAACACCAGCACCAACTTCATCTGGAAAGGCAGCTAGGTATAAGATAAAAAAAAAAAAATTAGAAAAAATTATTTTCCAATATCATGTGATTACCATTTTACTTTTAAAAGAATTATAATTCATTTTTTAAAAGCATATTTACTTCCTTCTGGAATTGGCTCCATATCCCATGGGCTCATCTTTTCTCTCTCATTATTGTCCCAGCTATTAAAAAATAAGAAGATGCAAATCAAATTAATCATATAGTACTTCCTTTCATATACTACCACAATTTTACATGACTTCTTGGGGGTGAAATTTGAAAAAGGGCAATACAGTTGTCTTGAAAGTACAACTCCGGTTACATACAGATAACAATAAACTTCTAATAGAGAAAACATGGTCCATCGCTATGAAACTTAGAGGGCAGAAAGCCTACTTTTTGTCAATATGGAGACTAAAAGTCAGTCCTCAGAGAATAAACATTTCGTCTATCATTCTTGAGAGGATTCATTCATTAGCAATCTTACAACTCTGGATTTTCAAGAATAATTAAAGTAGATGTTGAAAACAAATAGTACTTCCAAACATGATGCAACCACCTCTGCCTAGAATTCATACGACTAAACAAAAGACTAAGTACTAATATTCATAGCTATATTCCAGCAATAACAATTACTTTAAGTAGTAAATTAGTTTCCATATTTCCCATTAAAAAATAGTTGCAATTCTTGTCTAAAGTAGAAATAGTTAATAGAAAATGCAAACAACAAAAGAGGTAGCAATAAAGTGTTTAGTTATTCCTTTGTTTTAGTCAAAGAAAACAAAGAACTTTGCTTTGACTAAAACAAGGGAAGAACTGAGCATTTTACCATCAAATTTCTTCTTTACAGGTACAGGTATTGTGAGACTAGATAAGTCAGATAAAAGGGCATTACTCCTGATGGAGGCTATTAAAAGTCCACATACTACTACAATGTCATATTAGGCATAAAAGATCATAAACATACTTACTGAACACTGTAACACTGGAAAGAACTATCAGGATACTCTGGTTGAAAAGGCTGCTGACTCTCCACAGTCCCAAACCACCAGGCGTCATCTATTATACTGCGGAATCTATCACCTATAATGTTTTAAAATTCTTAAAAGGATGCTCTTGAGAATATTAGCTCTGTTCCCACTCTAAATTACTACTTTTTGTTGACAACAGAAGTACTGTATCTAGCATTATAAGAAGCTTCCATCTAGGTTTTCGGGATAAGTGATTATTTTACATTTTAACCTCTTTATGTATTTTGATTTCCAAGTGGTAGAAATCTTTCTGAAATAAATTACATATGACCACATCTTAAATAAATACTACCAAGCATAATTTAACTTTTTTCAATTAATTAGCATCATCATTAGGCACACTTCTTATTGTATTACATATGTACATAAATGCAGTTGATTCTTCTATCTTGCTTTTAGCTTTCTTTAAAAATCTCTTCATACTAGTATTTATATTACAGATCTTCAAGGCAGGCTGTAAATCAAGGAAGATGTAGGAAAGTCTGGAACTTCCTAGAGACTTGTTTAATGGTTTTGACCAAAATGCTAATAGCCATATGAACAATGAAGTCTAGGCTGAGGTGGTCTCAGATAGAGATCAGGAACTTATTGGGAACTAGAGTAAAGGTCACTCATGCTATGCTATAATAAAGACACTGGCAGCATTTTGCCCATGCCCTAAGATCTGTGGAAACTTGAACTTGAGAGAGATGATTTAGGGTATCTGGCAGAAGACATTTCTAAGCAGCAAAGGATTCAAGGGGTGACTTGGCTGCTGTTAAGAGCATTCAGTTTTATGTATTCACAAAGATGTGGTCTGGAAATGGAACTTATCTTTAAAAGTGAAGCAGAGCATTAAAGTTCAGAACTTTTGCAGCCTGATAACTGATAGGATAAAAAAGAAAAACCCATTTTCTGAGGAGAAATTCAAGCCAGCTGCAGAAATTTGCATAAGTAACTAGGAGCCAAATGTTAGTCACCAAGAAAATGGGGGAAAATGTCTTCCAGGGCATGTCAGAGCTCTTCAAGGCAGCCCCTCCCATCACAAGACCCAGGGCCTAGAAGGAAAAAATGGTTTCTTGGGGCTGCCTCCCTGCTCTGCGCACACTTGGAACTTGGTGTTCTGTTTGCCAGCTGCTCCAGCTCCAGCCATGACTAAAAGGGGCCAAGGTACTGCTCAGGCTGTTGTTTCAAAGGGTGTAAGCCCCAAACCTTGATGGCTTCCATGTGGTGTTGGGCCTACAGATGCATAGAAGTCAAGAATTGAGGTTTGGGAACCTCTACCTAGATTGCAGAGGATGTATGGAAATGCCTGGATATCCAGGCAAAAGTCTGCTGCCGGGGCAGAGCCCTCATGGAGAATCTCTGCTAGGGCAGTGCAGAAGGGAAATTTGGGGTTGGAGCCCCCATACAGAGCCCCCACTGGGGTACTGCCTAGTAGAGTTGTGAGAAGAGAGTCACCGTCCTCCAGACCCCAGAATGGCAGATCCACCGACAACGTGCGCCGTGTGCCTGGAAAAGCTGCGGACACTCAACGCCAGCCTGTGAAAGCAGCTGGGAAAGGGGACATACCCTGCGAAGCCACAGGGATGGAGCTGCCCAAGAGCATGGGAACTCACCTCTTGCATCAGCGTGACCTGGATATGAGACATGGAGTCAAAGGAGATCATTTGGGAGCTTTAAAATTTGACTGCCCCGCTGGATTTTAGACTTGCATGGAGCCTTCAGTCCCTTTGTTTTGGCCAATTTCTCCCATTTGGAATGGGAGTATTTATCCAATACCTGTACCCCCACTGTATCTAGCAAGTAACGAATCTGCTTGTGATTTTACAGGTTCATAGGCAGAAGTGACTTGCCTTGTCTCAGATGATACTTTGGACATGGACTTTTGAGTTAATGCTGGAATGAGTTAAGACTTTGGGGGACTGTTGATTGGTTTTGAAATGAGAACATGAGATTTGGGAGGTGCCAGGGGCTGAATGATATGGCTAGGCTCTGTGTCCCCACCATAATCTCATCTTGAAGTCTAATCCCTTCACATCCAGGGAGGGACCTGGTGGGAGCTGATTGGATTATGGGGGCAGTTTCCCACATGTTGTTCTTGTGATGGTGAGTTTTCACAAGATCTGATGGTTTAAAGGTGTGGCACTTCCACTTCTAACTCTCTGTCTCCTGCAGCCATATGAAGAAGGTCTTGCTTCCCTTTTGCCTTCTGCCATGATTGTAAATGTCCTAAGGCCTCCCGAGCCATGTGGAAATGTGAAATCAATTAAATGATTTTTTCTTTATAAATTACCCAGTCTCAGGTAGTATCTTTACAGCAGTGTGAAAATGAACTAATACATATGGCTACAATTAGATTTTTAAAATTCAGGCCTAAGTAATTAAGTGTGCAAAAAAGTTGATAGTTTAAAAATCCTTATGTTCTGTATTGTATTGTTATACAATAGAGCTATAAGCAAATTTATTTAAATTATAAAATATTTTCCTTTACATTATTGCTATACTGCTTTTTATAATCAAAAAAGTAAAGAAAGAAGGGTAAAAGAGCAAAAGAGGGTGGGAAGGTGACAGGGAGGGAAACAAGGATGGAGGAAGGAAAAAAGGAAACAAATCACAATCAGTAATCATGTGTTTTAGAACCTAAGTGTAAAGTGCTCTATTTTAGGGCAACAGACATTTGAGAATTTTCTTTATATTCCTGTTTGTATACTAATAGAGTAGGTATTTGCAGAAGGTTTAGAGATTATAAGCCACACACAATGTGCATAAGAAATAACTAAAAGGAAATTTTAACTTAAGTTTTCTAGTTTCTCTGGTAGCTTTTTTCAGCTAAATGATAAGCTACTTTCTTTCTGTTAAATCACAGTTAAAAAGTTACTTACTGTACATAAGCTTAATAGTTATTAAACAACAATTCTATATTTACCAATCTGCCAGTTCCTTTCTTTGGCTTCATTATAAAACTGATGTAGCACAAGGAAGTCAATGACATCCGGCATGTCATGATACCTATACAGAAAATAAAGCACATATGAATCAATATAGAGATATAACAATATATGTTACTAAATGTCCAAGGATATATGTTTATTGTAGACCCATTGAGAAAAGTTTGCAAACCTCACAGTCCCTAGAAATGCCTTTACTTAAACATCACCTTCTCTGACCTGTTTGGGAGTGCCCTGCCTACTGCCATATTACTTTAAAAATATAAAGATGCCAATACAGGTTTATAAACCTTAATATGAGGTATTTTATATTAAGGAGTATGAATTAATGTTCTTTAATCTCCTTACGTTTTAAACTCAACTTCACATAAAGAGCCTCTGACTTATTATTCCTATTATTATTAACAGAAATAAAAGCAACCACCATGTTTCAAACATTCAATTAGGGAATTATAAAGGTTTGTCTTTGATTCCTCACAACAATCTTTAGGAAGAGATTAGCATTTCCATTTTACAAATGAAGACATAAATTCAGAGAGGTTAAGTAACTTGCTTATGAACCTATCTATGTAACTATCCATAACATAAATACACACACACACACACACACACACACACACACACACACACACACAAATATAAATAAAACGGAGAAATAAACTAGGAATTAAACTCTGGTCTTTATAATTCTAAACCCTGTAGTAAAGAATGCTATAGTGTTTTCTCTCCCATTGAGCACTGTACTCTAAAATATACAATAGGTATTAAAATACACACACTCAAACAGAGACTCAGAGATAACTACTCACTTAATGGAAAAAGATTCTCCAGTCATTTTGCCTGAAATTGGGTCCAGAAATGCAAGCTTCAAGCAGCACAGTGTGGGTGGGCCAACCTCATATTTGATTCCTACAATCTTAACAAACTCTTGCTCCTATTCATGAGAATACCAATAAATTATTACTTTCAATATAATTACTTAACATTTGTATAATATTTCATTATTACTTGAACAATTTATTATCTGAAAATTCTCTAAATGCCAGGCACTACACTAAGTGTTAAAGGTAATAAGATATGGCTCTTAACTCCTAATAGCAGGTTGTAGTTTAGTGCAAGGCTCTAAACCAAGGATGAGCAGCCACATCACCTGGGGAAATGCTTCAAATTTAATGATCCGAAATCCTACACCTATAGAATCAAATTCTGTTTGGGGTATAGCTCGGTAATATATCTATTTTGGAAAAACTCCCTAGTGCAGTATGATGCTCTGGTTAAAAATCACTCCCCTAGCAAAAATACAGTATGTAAGCATCCAGGTATATATGTACGTGTACATGTTTGGGGTGAAGACTTATATATTTTAATGTCTACAACATTATCTTTTTTGTTGTTTTTGTTTTACTTCAGATTCATGGGGTACACGTGCAGGTTTGTTACAGAGATATATTGCATAATGGTGGGGTTTGAGTTTCTAGTGTACCCATCCTCCAAATAGTAACCACTGTAACAAATAGCTAAGTTTTTAACCCCTATCCCCCTCCTAATCTCCCTTCCTTTGGAGTCCCCAATGTCTATCATTTCCATCTACATGTCCAGTTGTACCAACTGTTTAGTACCCATTTGTAAGAGAGGGCGTGTGGTATTTGACTTTCTGTTTTTCAGCTGTTTTACTTACGATAATGGCCTCCAGCTCCATCTATGCTGTTGTAAAGGCCATGACCTCAATTTTTATAGGTACACAGTATTCCATGATGTCTATGTACATTTTCTTTATCCAGTCCACCACTGACGGGCATCTAGATTGATTCCATGTCTTTGCTATTGTGAATAGTGATGTGACGAACATGCATGTGCATGTGTCTTCATGGTAGAACAATTTATATTCCTTTGGGTATATACCCAGTAATGGAATTTGGGTAGTTCTACTTTAAGTCTCCTGAGAAATCTCCAGATTGCTTTCCGCAGTGGCTGAACTAATTCACATTCCCACCAGTAGTATATAAGCATTCTCCTTTCTCCACAACCTCACAAGCATCTGTTTGTTTGTTTTGAATTTTTAATAATACCCATTCTGACTGGTGTGAGATGGTATCTTGTGGCTTTGATTTGCATTTCCCTAATGATTAGTGATGTTTTAGCATTTTTTCATATGTTTGTTGGTCGCTTATACATTTTCTTTTAAGAAGTGTCTGTTCATGTCCTTTGCCATTTTTAAATGAGATTGTTTGTTTTTTTGCTTGTTGATTGAAGTTCCTTATAGATTCTGGATATGATCTTACAATAATCATACACATTTACTGATTATTAATCACATTTAACAGATGGCAAAACTGATCTTCATAGGTATAGGGTCCTGCTTAAAGTTATATATTAGCATATAGCAAAGCTAGAATTGAAATCCAGGTCTTATTCCAAAGCCCAAGCTCTTTTACCACATATAAGCTGCTCCTACAATTTCCTAGGACAACAAGGTTAGGATAAAAAGTAAGAACTTGGCCGGGTGAGGTAGCTCATTCCTGTAATCCCAGCACTTTTGGAGGCCAAGTCGGGTGGATCACCTGAGGTCAGGAGTTCGAGACCAGCCTGGCCAACATGGTGAAACCCCATCTCTACTAAAAAGGCAAAAATTAGCCAGGCGTGGTGGTGGGTGCATGTAATCCCAGTTACTCGAGAGGCTGAGGCAGGAGAATTTCTTGAACCTGGGAGGCGGAGGTTGCAGTGAGCCGAGATCGCTCTACTGCACTCCAGCCTGGGTGACAGAGCGAGACTCTGTCTTAAAAAAAAAAAAAGAGTAAGAAATCACATGTTTTATTGAATCCTCTGATTCTAAAAAAGATTCAACTTTTACTTGATGACGAATAGATGGGAGCTGTCCCTATCTTCCAGAAGATAATTATGTAAAGCTCACTTGATAAGCTACTTTAGCACCTGATGACATTAATAAAAAGTTTTACAAACATCTAAATCAAATCTTTATCTTAATAAATATACATATTCTCAGCTGGGCACGGTGGCTCATGCCTGTATCCCAGCACTTTGGGAGGCCGAGGTGGGTGGATCACCCTGAGGTCAGGACTTCGAGACTAGCCTGGTCAATGTGGCAAAATCCTGTCTCCAATAAAAATACGAAAAATTAGCTAGGCATGGTGGCGTGTACCTGCGATCCCAGCTACTCAGGAGGCTGAGGCAGAAGAATCACTTGAACCCAGGAGGCAGAGGTTGCAGTGAGCCGAGATAGGGCCACTGCACTCCAGCCTGGGCAACAGAGCGAGACTCCGTTGCAAAATAAATAAAAAATAAATAAATAAATATACATATTCTCTCTTATATCCTTCCTGTCAAGAATCATCACACAACTCTTCATTTACCTGGAAAACTATCATAAAATGGCCCTTTAGTCTCTTATTCAGAAAACCAAAATGAAACACACATAAACCTAGGTAGAAATGGTGGTGTATGTATACCTATGTCTGTCTGTATGTGCATGTGTGCATATATATATACACATATATAGGTACAAATGAATGAAATATTTATTGACAAAATCATTCTCCATAAAATATGGAGCCACATGGGTATTATATATGTAGCTACAAGGGTAATATATCAAAACAGCTATTTTACAAAACACCAAAAGTTTCTGGGCTTCTTGTGATTTATCATATTTAAAATATACCAAAGCTGTCAGAACCTTGAGAGTGTTTATAGTCTACACACTCAGCTTATGGAGGCTCCAGAAGGTAAAAAGTTGCTGATTACGGAAAATATCCACAAAGGGGAACTCCTGCTTTGCTCTAATTATGGACTAGTATAGACTAGACAATAGAAAATAGCATACAAATTTTGAGAAACGTATAAAATGTGATCCATAATATTCAGTTCTACAAGAGTATAGATCATCATCTTATCTTGGATACACAATCAACAGTGAAATATGCATAAAACTGAGGGGAAAAAACCATGGGTAAGCAATTTAATTCCAAAGCTACTTCCATTGCATAGCTTATGAATTTGGCAAACTTACCCTGAGATCCATTTTGTTCCATGGCTGTTTTTGTAAATTAACACTGTATATTTTCGATTTCCTTACAGCCCGAACATAAGCTTCATGTCCTTGCCTAAAATAGATAAGCTAAAACAGAAAACATAAGGTATTAAACAGCAGCATCCTATATAACTCTGTATGTCCAATATACATTCCTACAAACATCCTCTTCTGTTTGCAGAAAGAAATAATTATAATATTGAAAGACTTTATACAATAAAGGTTTCAAATGATGTTAATTCAGTATTCATGCCTACGTAGCCCTGTGCTCAGTACCACATCATATAAACACAGTAAACACAGTCCTTTCCCTTCAATCAGCTTCATAAGTGTGCTGAAGAAGCAGATTCATGGAAAATGTACACAAAACTGGTCATATTTTAAAGTATATGTGCCCCTCCATATCCACAGCTTCTGCATCAACAAATCCAATCAACTGCAGATTGAAAATATTTGATATATATAACAATACAATTAGGCCGGGCATGGTGGCTCACGCCTTTAATCCCAGCACTTTGGGAGGTTGAGGCAGGTGGATCACCTGAGGTCAGGAGTTTGAGACCAGCCTGACCAATGTGGCAAAACCCCATCTCTAATAAAAATACAAAAATTAGCTGGGCATGGTGACACATGCCTGTAATCCCAGCTACTAGGGAGGCTGACGCAGGAGAATCACTTGAACCCGGGAAGCGGAGGTTGCAGTGAGCCGAGATCGCAACATTGCACTCCAGCCTGGGCAATAAGAGCAAAACTCCCTGTCAAAAAATAAATAAATAAATAAATAAATAAATGATAATACAGATAAAAAACCAATATCATATAACAACAATTAATATAGCATTTACATTGTATTAGGTATCATAAGTAATATAGAGATAATTTAAAGTATATAGGAGGATGTACATAGGTTATATGCAAATACTATGCCTTTTATATAATGTCCTTGTAGATTCTGTTATTTGCAAGGGGTCCTAGAGCCAATTCTGTGTGGATACCGAAGGACAACTGTACTATACTTCAAATTATAACTGACACTCTAACTATCAAAATTCTAATATTCAGTCTACACATTCCATATAAACAGTATAAATCACAGGTTACTAAATGGAGTAATTTCAAGACAAATTAAAAGTTGCCTGTTACAAGAGTTCATGTCAGAACTGGCATATTATGGAAGGAAAATGAATTCAATTACTTAATTCTTCAGCTCTTTAAGTCACCATTTACTATCATTTTCTATATTTATTACAAAAAGTTTCTTTTCCTCAAGTTTAAAAGCAGTGATAGAGGCTAGGCACAGTGGCTCACACCTGTAATCCTAGTACTTTGGGAGGCCGAGATTGGTGGATCACCTGAGGTCAGGAGTTCGAGACCAGCCTGGCCAACATGGTGAAACCCCGTCTCTACTAAAAATACAAAAATTCACCGGGCGTGGTGGTGCACGCCTGTAATCCCAGCTACTCCAGAGACTGAGGCAGGAGGATCGCTTTGAACCCAGGAGGTAGAGGTTGCAGTGAGCCGAGATAGCCCCACTGCACTCTAGCCTGGGCAACAGAGCGAGACTCGTCAAAAAAAAAAAAAAAAAAAAAAAAAAAGTAGTGATAGAGATAAGTAAATAGAAGAAAGTAACAAAAAATACCATATTATGAGATTTCTAAAATACATTAACATACTCTACCAATCAATACTAGGTCAGAATTTCTAATAGCTAAAAATTTGAGCAGAAAATAAAAAAGGTTTAAAATTAGTAAATAAAATAATTGTAAGGGTTAAAAACCAATAATACACGTCATTAAGATATCCTTTATTATATATTCATTCCTGAATTCCACAAATACTGATCATTGAACATCTATGTGTAGGCACTAGATGCTGTGATAAGGCATAAAACCATTTCCTCTAGGATATGGAAACTCATGTAGATATATAACTATAATGCAAGGTAGAATATATTATATATCAGAAGAGAAAAATAATTTAGGTAGAAAAGCCATGAGCACAGAGGGACTGGCCAATGAAAAACAAGGATAACATCCTGGAAAAGTTAGTATTTGAATTAGACCTTGAAAATGATAATTTTAAGAAGCAATGATCTGTATGTAGGGATATCTAGGCAAGACAATGAAGGCTTAATATTAAGATGAAGTAAAAAGTAATGTTGCCATTAAGAAATCAATTATATAAAAAGTGTATGTTTGCCTTTATAATTTCTTTAAAAACATTCTCTACATATTCATTGTCTGGTTTACATACATCTTCCTCATTACCTGAAGAACTGTCTTCACCTCATACACATTAGTCTTGAAGCATATAAGGATGTAGTAAGTTTAACAACATAGAGGAAGAGGAATTCCACCAAAGAATGGAGAAAAATAGTCCTTAGACAGGAGTCTCATTAGGTCTTAGAGTGTACAGATCCTTATATTGTTCTATAAAGTTTTCTAACATAATTAAACATTACTCCTCTTCTGCCTCCAGAAAATAAAAACAGGCAACAACTACAAGAAATAGTGATTTGATATATGCCAATAAAATTTTACAAGTTCTCTGTTTTTAAGTATAGCATTCATCAGAAAATATTTATTAACATAACTATGCAAACAAGCATTACTCAGAAGTCCAATACCTATATGAAAATATCAAAAGAAACATCTTAAAATATCTAAAGATAATCAGCAGGTAATAATTTATTTGTAAGGCTATTTGATAGCTACTCTGATATAAGATCTCTATAACAGGCAATTACAGAAAAGTTTGGTAAAACTTTTATTGTTCCCAAAATGTTTAGAGCCTACTTGCAAGGTTTTGTTCCTTCTGCTGTTGCAATGACAATATTACATTTCTACTAACACTCTTAAATTAAAAACTGTGTAAAAACATTTAATTGATTAAAAAAATTAGTATATCAGACAATATCCAAGCCAAAAAGAGTTCTAATGTTCCAATGTTACGATAATTTTCATAATAAACTGAAAGTTTTTTACCAGGTAGAATTTTGATTAATTTTTGACTGGCCAATAATAAATATGGCTACACTCATCAATCACAGACTCAGAAAGAAAGACCTGTTTGCAAAACTACATTCCCCTGCTCATTTAAAGGAGTAAATACCTTCTTGTATACTTTCTATCAGGTTGAACGTGTTTTGTTTTTTTTTAATAAATATTGGAACATGAATGAGGACTCAAAATACCACTCAATTCTACTAAGTGGCAATTCAGATTAAAATAAAGCCAATTATTTTTATGACTTCACAAGCTGATTAATTTATCTCAATATTCAATGAGCATCTAATAGACTGAAGCTACTGTGCCAGGACCTACAAAGGATACAAAGATTAATACTGTTCAGTCCCCTTCCACAAGAAATATATAATTGAGCAGAGCAGATAAGACACTGTATATATTATTATAATGGAATTAGGAATATAAATATATTCAGACTGATTAAAGTTAGTGCTCTTGAGGCTCCACAGAAAAAGGTTATAACAGGTAATAATTACCTCATCTCCCATTTGTGGGACAAATGGGGAACGTCGGGGTATAGTATCCAAGATCCACTGAGGGGCAAACCATTCTTCATTAGGCTCACCTGCTATAGAAACCAGTCCTCCTTTCTAAAACATAAATACACGAAAAGTATATGTATAAAACACAGTTCTCCAATACATAAAACACATAAACAATAGTATGAAAAATAGTAGGTAGAGAAGATTAAAAATTTCAGGTTACAATGAAACCTAAAGTATATAAATTTGAATGATTTTGCTTTATTATATACAATTTTTCTGCCAATAAAAAATCACTTTACTAAATTTTAACTGACAAGTAATAACTTGACACTATAGACTACCTGAAAACCATAACTTTTACATACGTCCCTTGACTACCACGTGAATTCAAATGCAAGAATAAGTTTTTGCCAATAAAATAGTGATAATCAAGAAAATAATTGTCTACTAAAGCAAAAGACTATAGAATGTGTCTATAATCAATTTTGAAGTTAAAATTAAAATAACTACATACACCAAGTCTTTAAATCATTTAAATGAATCTATAGTGGGGAAAAGAAACTGTCATTGGGATGAAATAAAAACATAAAGGTAAGCCAGGCACAGTGGTACACACCAGTAGTCCCAGCCAACCAGGAGGCTGAGGTGGGAGTATTGCTTGAGCCTAGCAGTTCGAGTCTGCAGTGTGCTATGATCATGCCTGTGAATAGCCACTGCACTCCACTCTGGGCAACATAAGACCCCATCTCTTTAAAAAAAACACCAAAAAACATAGTGGAATGGAGGGAGAGTCCTATACAATTTATCATACTCTTCCATGTTACAAGTTAAAAATGTTAAAAATGAGGACTCAAAATACCACATGACAAGAATAATAATGTTGTCAGATAAAACTGACAAGAATAATAATTTTGCTAAGACAGTAGTTTATTTTAGGACATTGCTACGTTTTAACAAATGATTGTGAATATGTTTGAATAACAAATTATAATGAAACATTCTAGCCTCTACCTTTGATAACAGAAAAATTTCAAAAATTCTTTACATTTTGAAGTCAAACTACTTTTACTTACTTTCTCAGATGAAATGTTATTTTTAGAGAAAAGTCAATGTTACAATTAAATATTTAAGTTATCAAAGGCAAAAAACAAAAAATAACAAAAACAAAATAACTTATAAAGTTACAAACCTTCTTTCTAGTCTGCTTAGGTTTCTTCTGCCTTTCTTCTAGGGACTTCAAATTTTCCTCATCAGAGCTGCTGCATATTTTACGTGTTGTCTGTCTGGTTTGTCTTTTTGGGGGTTGTAAATTTATTCCAGCATCTGCTGTCCAATCAGAATATTCACTTGATGAGTCACTGTAAATAAATCAAAATTATGGATACCTAAGTATAGAAAAGGAGTAGTTTTACTTAATAATTGAAAGATCATTCTGTAAGCAAACAGCATTATAAATGACATGGCTGGATTTTTTTCTAACTTAAGAGAAAAAATATCATCCAGGCACGGTGGCTCACACCTGTAATCCCAGCACTCTGGGAGGCCAAGATGGGCAGATCACAAGATCAGGAATTCGAGACCAGCCTGGCCAACATGGCAAAACCCCGTCTCTACTAAAAATACAAAAATTAGCCGGGTGTGATGGCACACGCCTGTAGTCCCAGCTACTCAGGAAGCTGAGAGGGAAGAATCACTTGAATCCAAGAGGCAGAGGTTGCAGTGAGCCGAGAGTGTACCACTGTGCTCCAGCCTGGGTGACAGAGTGAGACTCCATCTCAAAAAAAAAAAAAAATCAATATAGAATTTCGACCATTATCTAAGTAATTTTAATGAAATGCTTCTTGGATGAAGTATACTTTATCCAAGGATTATAATTATAATGCTTAGTTTCCTGTAACAGGAATTAAAATCCCTGTCCAAAATCACAAATGCTTCTTTAAAATAAAAAAGCATCTTATTCTTGGAAATGCTGAAGTGGGATTGTTTTAAAACTGAAATAAATACATATACAGTCATATACAGTCATGAGTCAGTTAACAAAGGGGATACTTTCAGAGAAATGCATCATTAGGTGATTTTGTCATTGTGTGAATATCATACAGAGTATACTTACACAAACCTAGACAGTATAGCCTACTACACAGCTATTCTATATAGGTAGAACCTAATGCTCCAAGGCTACAAATTTGTACAGCATGTGACTGTACTGAATACTGTCAACAATTTTAACACAATGCTAAGTATATATCTACACAATGCTAAGTGTATATCTACACATAGAAAAGGTACAGTAAAAATATGACGTAAAAGATTTTTAAAAATGTATACATACACAGGGCACTTAACATGAATGGAGTTTATAGAACTGAAAGTTGCCGTGGGTGAGTCAGTGAGTGATGGTGAGTGAATGTGAAGACCTAGAACATTACCGTACACTACTGAAGACTTTACAAACACTACGCTTAGGTTACACTGAATTTATAAAAAATATTTTTCTTTCTTCAACAAGAAATTAATCAGCTTGCTGTAACATTTTTACTTTATACTTTTTAGTGTTTTTTAACTTTTTGACTTTTTTGTAATAACACTTAGCTTAAAACACAAACACATTGTACAGCCGTATTTTTTTTTTTCCTTGAGACAGAGTTTCACTCTTGTCGCACAGGCTGGAGTGCAATGGCGCAATCTCAGCTCACTGCAATCTCTGCCTTCTGGGTTCAAGAAATTCTCCTGTCTCAGCCTCCCAAGTAGCTGGGATTACAGGCCTCTGCCACCACATCCGGGTAATTTTTGTATTTTTAGTAGAGACAGGGTTTTACCATGTTGGCCAGGCTGGTCTCGAACTCCTGACCTCAGGTGATCCTTCCACCTCGGCCTCCAAAAGTGCTGAGATTACAGAAGTGAGCCACCACGTTCGGCAAATTTTTTCTTTATATCCTTACTCTATAAGGTTTTTTCTATTTTTAAGGTTTAAAATTTTTTTTTATTTTAAAATTTTGTTTAAAAACTAAGACACAAACATTAGCCTAAGCCTACAGAGGGTCAGGATCATCAATATCACCGTCTTCCATCTCCACATCTTTTCCTGTTCAACGGAAGGTATTCAGAGACAAAAACACATGGAGCTTTTATCTCCAATGATAATAATGCCTTCTTCTGGAATATCTCTTTGAGGACCTGACAGAGGCTATTTTACAGTTAATAATTTATTACAAGTAGGACAAGTACACTCTAAAATAACAATAAAAAGTATAGCATAAACTGAGCAAACTGGTGTGCACCTGTACACCCTGCTACGCAGGAGGCTGAGGTGGGACGACTGCTTGAGCCCAGGAGTTCAAGGCATGCCTGGGCAACATAGCAAGACACCATCTCTAAAAGAATAGAAAATGAAATGAAGAAACCGTAATAATATAAAAGTATAGCATAGTAAATAAACCAGTAACATAGTTGTTTATTAAGTACTATATACTGTACATAATTGTATATGCTAAACTTTTGTATGACTGACAGTTCAGCAAGTTAATTTACACCAGCATCCTCACAAACACATGAATAACACTTTGTGCTACAGTGTTACAATGGCTATGATGTCACTAGGTGACAGGAATTTTTCAGCTTCATTATTGGACCATAGTCATATGCACTCGATCATTGACTGAAACATCATTATGCAGAGGGTGAATATAATTGCCAAGATGTAGAATCTTGGATTTAAAAAGAATCTTATTTTATAGATGAAGAAACTAAAAGGCCCACAGTGACGTCAGAAAGGTATTGGGAGAGCCAGGATCACATCAGGTCTCTCGGCTTCCAGCCAATACCTTTTCTACTATAAAACACTATTTTAATTCTGGTTTTACCAATTTCCTACGAGAACATAATTTCGTATTAAAACTGTTCAATAATTTTGACCAAATTAAAACCATTAAAACTACCTGGAAGAACTTTCACTTTGCCATTCAACAACAGGATCCTCTACCGAAGCGTCACTTGTGCCAACAGTTTCATCTTCCTACAACAAAGAGCCAGCAATTAAGATATATGGATATTACCAGCTAATGTATTTCTAATTAAAAAACCACTACCTGTTTTATAGCATTTTTTTGAATTCTGCCCTCAAAAAATGTTCTTCTTAAAACGCACATAATTATTGTTCTAAGTATATCTGTAACTCACAACTAAGTCTACTAGGTATTTCTAAATTTCTAGCATCATTATCTTATTGATATAAAACATCTTTTTGTGATTTCAAAGACTCAATAGATTTCTTGAGTCCAAATATAACCCTCTTAAATACATTAGAAACATTGTTTTCAAAATGCCTATATGTCTCTGTCGAGTTAATATAATTACTCTCCATTAAAAATTTTAATTATCTTTTTTATGTAAAATTTTAAATACAGTAGAGAATAGATAACCCGTGTACACAATCTCCAGTTTAGGTAATAACTCACTTCCTATTTTATCTATACCCTCACCCACTGCCTTATACTCTAGCATTAGTTTGATGCACAATATGACCAAAAAAACCATTTTAACCATAAATATTTACTAAGATTAGGATTTGTTTTAAAAGTACAACCGCAATGCTGTTATCACATTACATTTAAAAGGGAGCATCAGGTCAGGTGCAGTGGCTCAACCCTGTAATCCCAGCACTTTGGAAGGCCAAGGCAGGCAGATCACCTGAGGTCAGGAGTTCGAGACCAGCCTGACCAATATGGTGAAACCCTGTCTCTACTAAAAACACAAAAATTAGCAGGGCATGGTGGCATGCACCTGTAGTCCTAGCTACTTGGGAGGATGAGACAGGAGAATTGCTTGAACTTGGGAGGTGGAGGCTGTAGACAGCTGAGATTGAGCCACTGTACTCCAGCCTGGACAACAGAACAAGACTCTTGTCTTTTTTTTTTTTTTTTAAAGGGTGGGGGAAGCATCAGTTCCTGAATAGTGATAATTCTTTTAAGATCAAGATTTCATATGGGTGGGGGTGGGGCATGAATGTAGGACATCTTTGATAATAGTTTAAGAACTGTGAATGGGGCCAGGTGCAGTGGCTCACGCCTGTAATCCTAGCACTTTGGGAGGCCAAGGTGGGCAGATCACCTGAGGTCAAGAGTTCAAGATCAGCCTGGCCAACAGGGTGAAACCCTGGCTCTACTAAAAATACAAAAATTAGCCATGCATGGTGGCGCATGCCTGTAATCCCAGCTCCTGGGGAGGCCAAGGCAGGAGAATCTCTTGAACCCAGGAGGCAGAGGTTGCAGTGAGCCAAGTACGTGTCACTGCACTCCAGCCTGGGGACAGAGTGAGACTCCATCTCAAAAAAAAAAAAAAAGAATTGGGAATGGCACAAGAATGAGAGTACCATATATTGTCAATGCATGATTAAACCTTCATTATGCATTTAACAATGAAAGCTGTTAAGAGAACAAAAAGACTGGAGAACAGAAGAACAAGATGAAAAGAAGCTATGCTCTTTATTCATTACCATGAAAAAGGTAGGTCTGAGAAAAATCAACATTCAATGATCTCTATGAGGGGTGAAGTCAATAATAACAAAACATGTGTACATTATGTTGATTAGATAGCCAACCAGTTCTGAAACTGTGTAACTTATTAATGCTCTTTATATTTCGCTCCTTTCCATTTATAGGCTGATTTCCTCTTACTCTTTTTTTCACTGTCTCAACGTCAAACTCTTGCTGGCATATTTGATACCCTCACCAAGACAGCATCTGAGGTACAAATCCAAGACATCTAAATGAATTAAATATGCCCAAATATACCTACTAAATGTATTATTAATGAACAAATCTCTTATAAGAATATAATTAAAATAATTTTCTATTAAAGAAGTGACCCTTAAACCCAAATGGATGATACAAACTGGGAAACAAAAAACTACATCAAATAAATAATAGTATATATATAACCTCTGAAGAACTGTCTGAGTCTTCCTGTACACCTGAATTTTGACATGATGCCTGTGAATTATGCTCTATGTTGGACCGTGTTTGGTAAGTATGCTGACGTTTGCGCTGTGTCCTGCGTAAAGAACGCCCACAGCTAGGCTCATAATCATTCTGTAAAAGAGAAGAATAATAAATTTTAAAAAAGGAAAAGCTCAGTAAACACACAAGGAACATATATAAAGCAAATTAGGTGGGGGGTAGGGGTGAGTAGGAGATGAGAATAAATTCCCCAAAATAAAGTCAACATAGAACTATATTTATACATATTTAATCCACTTTCCACTAATATTGATCACTCTCCTATTTTGTAAACCTTGTGATCAAATTAAAGACAGTGCTGAAAAGTCTGGGTTGCAAAGTCCCACAGACTTCTCTGTACAACGCAGAGTAATAGTTTAGGCAGCAACTTCTTGATCCTCAGTTTTGCCAGAGGCTGCAACCAGACCTGTGCTGGAACCACATTTAGAAACCAGTATGACAATGATATCATTGTCTGGAGCAGGATTCATCAAACTGAATATGCAATGGAAGCTGTTAAACAAGGTTCAGCCACAGTTGGTCTGAAATCAAAAACCCATGCAGTATTGGTTGCATTGAAAAGGGCACCATCGGAGCTTGCAGCTCATCAGAAAAAAATTCTCCATATTGACAAACATATTGGTATCTCAATTGCAGGGCTTACTGATGATGGTAAACTGTTACGTAATTTTATGTGCCAGGAGTGTTTCGATTCCAGATTTGTATCTGATAGACCACTTCCTGTGTCTTCTCTTGTATCTCTAATTGGAAGCAAGACCCAAATATCAACACAACAATATGGCTGGAGACCATATGGTGTTAGGCTACTTACTGCTGGTTATAATGATATGGGCCTCACATTTTCCAAACCTGGTCATCTGCTGACTATTTTGACTACAGAGCTACGTCCACTGGGGCCCATTCTCAGTCAGCTCGTACTTACTTGGAGAGACATATGTCTAAATTTATGGAATACAATTTAAATGAACTGGTTAAACATGGTCTGCATGCCTGAAGAGAGACAATTCCTGCAGAACAGGACATAACTACAAAAATGTTTCCATTGGAATTGCTGGTAATAATTTGGAGTTTACAATCTATCATGATGATGATGATGTGTCTCCAATCCTGGAAGGTCTTGAAGAAAGGCCACAGAGAAAGGCAAAGCCTGCTCAACCTGCTGATTAACCAGCAGAAAAGGCTGATGAACCAATGGAACATTAAGTGATAAGCCAGCCTATGTATGTATTATCAAATATGTAATAATGCTGGAAGACATACTGATGATACTAATCATCAGTAGAATGGTGGTGGAATGGTATGTTTTAGGAATCAGTCCAGATGTGAGTTTTTTCTAAGCAACCTCACTAAAACCATATAATGGGGTACATTTTTCTTTGAGATGTCTATATAATCACTTTCTAGAAAGTACAGGTATCTGTACTAATGTTTTTATATGAAAAAAGTAAGTGTCTTTGTGATTTTAAAGCCAACTGTAAAATAAAATTGTTTCACCTCCTGAAAAAAAAAAGAAATGTCTGGGTTGCAAGAATTTGCCCATTCATAATTTACGTATGCCACATTATTCAGAATTATTATAGGATGAAGCAAGACATTTCAGTCATATGTGTATATATAATGTGTGTTTATTTAGTTCTGCTCAAAAATCTAGAAAACTTTTTTAAAGTGCTAAGATATATAAGTGGATTTAATAATCTATACTTTTGTTCATTCTAGATTAACATTGAGGGCTAAACTCTGATCTTTTATTTCTCTTGCCCAAATTTCTATCTAAGAGGCCTTCTGCAGAGGTGGGCATGGGAGGGGAGGTTCCATGCCTCACAAACGACAAAGTCTCATCAGAGGGGTTTTACTTAACCCTATATAACGTGTTTTAACTTTCCAATATGACTCTGGCATAACATCATACAACAGAGAAAGAAGGAAATCAAAATATTTTAACCGCAAATATGTTTCTGTCATATCTTGAAATAGCCCTGTAAAGCTGTCTTAAAATCAACATTCTGTAGAGAATCCCTTTCTCTTTCCAGGCCTTTTTCCTGATCCAGGAGAGAATCAACCAAAAGTCTGGCACTTTTATTTAAGTCTGAAAAGAAACATTTGCAACCTACTCTCTGTGAAAAAAGCTACCTAGAGGCTTCTTCTGCGTAATGAGAATCTCGGTCTCTAAAATTCCTTATCTAAACCCAGACATTTCCTTCCATTGATTCTAGGTCTTTAGACAATAACTCTTTCAACTAATTGCTAATTAGAAAATTTTTGAATCCACCTATGACCTGGAACCTCCTCCGTCACACCCCCATGAGTTGTCCTGCCTTTCTGTACTAAACCAATGTACTGTCTTACATGTACTGATTGATGTCTTGTCTCTCTAAATTGTATAAATCCAACCAGTAGCCTGGCCATCTTAGGCATATGTTCTCGGGACTACTTCTTGAGACTGTGCATCCAGTCACTGGTCACTCATGTATGGCTCAGAATAAATCTCTTCAAATATTTTATAGAGTTTGACTCTTTCATCAACAGCATTCTTAAGATTCTTAAGAGGTAAAAAGTATCTTTAGAATAAATTTAGTCCAATCTCCAACCCCCCACCTCTGAAATACAAAACTAGGTCCAGGAGAGAGTTGTTTAAAATAAAAATGAAATGCTCTCCCCTCTCCCCTCTCCCCACGGTATCCCTCTGATGCCGAGCCGAAGCTGGACTGTACTGCTGCCATCTCGGCTCACTGCAACCTCCCTGCCTGATTCTCCTGCCTCAGCCTGCCGAGTGCCTGTGATTGCAGGCACGCGCCGCCACACCTGACTGGTTTTCGTATTTTTTTGGTGGAGACGGGGTTTCGCTGTGTTGGCCGGGCTGGTCTCCAGCTCCTAATCGCGAGTGATCCGCAAGCCTCGGCCTCCCGAGGTGCCGGGATTGCAGACGGAGTCTCGTTCACTCAGTGCTCAATGGTGCCCAGGCTGGAGTGCAGTGGCGTGATCTCGGCTCGCTACAACCTCCACCTCCCAGCCGCCTGCCTTGGCCTCCCAAAGTGCCGAGATTGCAGCCTCTGCCCGGCCGCCACCCTGTCTGGGAAGTGAGGAGCGTCTCTGCCTGGCTGCCCATCGTCTGGGATGTGAGGAGCCCCTCTGCCTGGCTGCCCAGTCTGGAAAGTGAGGAGCGTCTCTGCCCAGCCGCCATCCCATCTAGGAAGTGAGGAGCGCCTCTTCCCGGCCGCCCATCGTCTGAGATGTGGGGAGCGCCTCTGCCCTGCCGCCCCGTCTGGGATGTGAGGAGCATCTCTGCCCGGCCGCGACCCCGTCTGGGAGGTGAGGAGCGTCTCTGCCCAGCCGCCCCGTCTGAGAAGTGAGGAGACCCTCCGCCTGGCAACTGCCCCGTCTGAGAAGTGAGGAGCCCCTCCGCCCGGCAGCCGCCCCGTCTGAGAAGTGAGGAGCTCCTCCGCCCGGCACCCACCCCGTCTGGGAAGTGAGGAGCGTCTCCGCCCGGCAGCCACCCCGTCCGGGAGGGAGGTGGGGGGGCCAGCCCCCCGCCCGGCCAGCTGCCCCGTCTGGGAGGGAGTTGGGGGGGTCAGCCCCCTGCCCGGCCAGCCGCCCCGTCCGGGAGGTGAGGGGCACCTCTGCCCGGCCGCCCCTACTGGGAAGTGAGGAGCCCCTCTGCCCGGCCACCACCCCGTCTGGGAGGTGTACCCAACAGCTCATTGAGAACGGGCCATGATGACAATGGCGGTTTTGTGGAATAGAAAAGGGGGAAAGGTGGGGAAAAGATTGAGAAATCGGATGGTTGCTGTGTCTGTGTAGAAAGAAGTAGACATGGGAGACTTTTCGTTTTGTTCTGTACTAAGAAAAATTCTTCTGCCTTGGGATCCTGTTGATCTATGACCTTAACCCCAACCCTGTGCTCTCTGAAACATGTGCTGTGTCCACTCAGAGTTAAATGGATTAAGGGCGGTGCAAGATGTGCTTTGTTAAACAGATGCTTGAAGGCAGCATGCTCCTTAAGAGTCATCACCACTCCCTAATCTCAAGTACCCAGGGACACAAACACTGCGGAAGGCCGCAGGGTCCTCTGCCTAGGAAAACCAGAGACCTTTGTTCACTTGTTTATCTGCTGACCTTCCCTCCACTATTGTCCTATGACCCTGCCAAATCCCCCTCTGCGAGAGACACCCAAGAATGATCAATAAAAAAATAAAAAATAAAAAAAACAAATAATAAATCTTAGATTACTTCTAACAACAGAAGGGAAAGGACTCAAAACAATCTACATACAAAAAGTAACAATTTAATTTTTGGAACTGAAATCTAAACTCTGCTCTTTTGTTATTCTCTTGCTCAAATTCCTATCTCAAGGGTCTGGAGAGTCATGCCTTACAAACCATAGAGTCCCATCAGAGCGGTTTTATTTAACTCTATGTAACATGGCTTTACTTTTCCAACCTGACTTTGGCATAGCATCACATGACAGATAAAGAGGGGAATCAGAATATTTTAAACCCAAATGTTTCTTTGCCATATCTTGAAATAGCCCTGCAAAGTTGTCTCTTGTGGGGGAAAACCTACATTGTGCAGAGGACCCCCTTCAAGGGAGAATCAACTAAGAGTCTGGCATCTTTTTAAGTCCGATAACAAACATTTACAACCTATTTTCTCTGAAGTTTGCTACCTGGAGGCTTCATCTGCATAATAAGAATCTTGGTCTTCACAAACCTTCATCTTTTTTTTTTTTTTTTTTTTTTTTTGAGACGGAGTTTCACTCTAGTTGCGCAGGCTAGAATGCAATGGCGTGATATGGGCTCACTGCAACCTTGGCCTCCAAGGTTCAAGTGATTCTCCTGCCTGCCTCAGCCTCCCGAGTAGCTGGGATTACAGACATGCACCACCACACCTGGCTACCCAAACCCTTATCTTAATCCAGACATTCCTTTCTCTTCATTCCAGGTCTTTAGATAAAAACTCTTTCAACCAATTTCCAGTCAGAAAATCTTGGATTGGAAACTGACCTGGAAGCCCACCACCCACCTTCCAGTTGTCCTGCTTTTCTGCACCAAACCAGTGTACATTTTACATCTATTGATTGATGTCTTATGTATCCCTAAAATGTATAAAACCAAGTTGTAGCCCGACCATCTCAGGCACAGAGTCTCAGGATCTCCTGAGGGCTGTGCCACGGACCATTGGTCACTCATTTTTGGCTCAGAATAAATCTCTTCAAATATTTTAAAATTTGATTCTTCGTCAAAGGCACATAGACGCACACAAATTCATGCCATGTTTAATCCCTTATATCCCATTGAGGATTATTTCTACTATTTGCGGACAATATAGAAGAAGAGAAATTGAGTAACTATGGATAACTTACCTGTAGTTGTAACAAGAATTGGCAGTATGTTCATTTAGTAAACAGGTCAAAATAGAGATTTAATTTTTAATGATTAAAATTTGAAGTGAAAACTATTTTATTCTAACCTTTACAAATATAAAACATTACTATTGATATTCCATTTAGCTAAGCTGCAATCCTAGAATGTAATCAGGAGCCAACAAGTTTAAAAGTGTATGTAAATGTTTCACATTTTCAACCTAAGTAAAAATATCTACAGACCTAAGTACCCTGTCCATTAGTCTCAGCCAAGTCTGATGTTTGATAAAATCAGCTTAGTAAGAAACATGAATAAAAATCAGTGTTCTGAGTCATTCAAAATCTCTTAAAAAAAAAAAAACTTACCAGAGAACAGCAAATAAACTAACAAAACAATAAAGTTAATTTCTTAACAATAAAAGTTAAGAAAGCAAACATCAAAATGATCTAATATTTGCAGATATCCATTTGATATTTACCTAAATTTCTGTTTATCAATTATGGAAAAAAATGCAAATTCAGGGTCCATTACCTAGATTTGTTTAACAACATCAAAATCATCCTAGACTCTTCAAATTACCACACTCTACAGAAATTATGGTTAAATTTGGGAACAAAACTATACATTTGGTGTACCTGAGAGTATTCTGCTTAGCAGTTTCTTTCTATAGTACATCACAATATACAGATCATATTTTGCTCCTAAATGATTTGGTAAGCCAGGAATGGGTCTAGGGTAGGGATCAGCAAACTTTTTCTGCAAAGGACCAAAGTGTAAACATTTTTTGGCTTTGCAAGTCATACAATCTCTGTTACAACTATTCAATTCTGTCTTACAGCCTGAAAGCAACCACATACAAGACATAAATAAGTGAACGTGGCTGTGTTCCAATAAAGATTAACAGAAATAGGTAGCAGAACTGATTTGGCCCATGGGCTATAGTTTGCCAATCTCTGGCCTAGGATATCTGGATCATTTGTTTTACATTCTAATTAGTGATCTGGTAATATAGTTAAGGTTCTACTTTGATCATATAAAAATGGTTATTTTAATACAAATATCTTACACCTACAATGACCACATGTCCTAGATTTGGGGGGACACTCGACTTGTGACTTTGTTCTTATTAATAATAATCATATATCTCAATTTGTGGCTCAAAAAGTAGGTTCCCTATATGCAGATACCTATTAAAATAGTCTCTTAACACACAACTGCTGCCTCTCAAAAGCCTATTATCTACAAATATCTGCAAATAGTGTATCCCAAAGTATTGTAAAACTATACTTACCCTTTGAGTAGTGTAAGATGGCTTTTTCTTCTTTTCAACTGTATAAAGACTGATTTCTATGTCACCTTTTGCAGTTCGACATTCTTCCTGTACCCTAATAACAAGTCAAAGGTCAAAGTAACAGAAAATCAAGAAGAAAACCAATCATTTAAGAATCAGATAATAAAAATACTTTTAAACATATAATTTGCCACTTGAACTATTTTTAAGCATATAATTCAGTGGCATCAATTACATTCAGAAAGTTGTGCAACCATTACCAGCATTTCCAAAACTTTTTCATCACTTCAAAGATAAACTCTGTGACCATTAAGCAATAACTCCCCATTTTCTCCTTCTTCCTAGCCCCTGAAAACCTCTAATCTATTGTATGTCTCTATGAATTTGCCTAGTCCAGATATTTCATATAAGTGGAATCATATAATATTTGTCCTTTTGTCTCTGGCTTCTTTTGCTTAGCATGTTTATCCACGTTGTAGCAGGTATCAGAACATCATTCTTTTCTGTAGCTGAATGATATGCCATTTTGTACATATACCACAATTTGTTTATCTATTCATCTGTTGGTGGACAATTGAGTTGTTTCCACCATTTGGTTATTGTGAATAATGCCACATTTAACAGTGGTATACAAATATCTTTGAGTCCCTGCTTTCAATTCTGCTTTCTATGTTTTGAGTAAATAATCATTTACTCCAAAGACATTAATTATGTCTTTTTTTTTTTCTTATCACTGCTGCCTTCTTATAGCAGAAAGCAGAAGAAAAGGAGAAACCAAATTAATTTTGCTATTTGTTGGTTGATCTGGTAAAAGGCTTGGTTAGGAAGATACTTGATTAAAATGAATTGTACATATTCTCTGTAAATGTCCTTTCTCTTTTCTAAATCTATTTCCAGTTGCTGTGGAGTATCTGAAAGTTATTATTACAGCAAATGTCAGGGTTTACAAATATGAATAGGGATTATAAGTTTGAAATTAATCCTAATGAAATTCTTTCACCCAATGAAGCCTACCTAAATGACATTTCTAAAGATACTCTAAGCACTAGCATCTAACAAATAATTGTACTCCCAGGCTGCTCCAATGTTAGGGTCCATATATCACTCACATATTTAATTATGTAAGACCTCATGAGTTCTTAATACTACTTGTATTCTTTTCTTCTAATCTAGGCTATAAACTCAGAACAGAGATAATGTTTTGCATTTTCAATATTCCCCAAAGCATTCAGCACAAAGCTGAAGATGATCATTATTTGTTACGAAGTGAACTCACTGGAATAATATGGAAAAACTAATGCATGACTAAACTATATTTTAAAATTCCTCATTTACTAGGCTAACATAGTACATTTCAATTCACTTCCTAAGAATAAAGCTTTAAATTTTTTTCTAAATGTTACCTTATTGACTCACCTACTAACCCCATTATTTAGTTCATTGACCACCACTCTTCTGCTCCACGCCATGAGATCTCTTTCAGTGGCCATCTGGCTCCGAGGAGCATTGTTATGCATTTGTCTAACACCTTCAATTTGACTACTATGTCTTCGAAGCCTGATGTTTGGGGAAGAAGATATGTCCATGTTTGGACTTCTCAGAGCTAAAACAAAAACAAGGAAAATTATCACTTTGTGAGCAAAGGCACCATAGTTTTCCAGAACAGAGCTCTAAATAAAACAGTAGATTCAAATATAGTACTGCTGTAAGAATTGCTATCCCTTTGTTCTATATTTTCTGTACCCTCCTTTGTGTTTTTCATATTGTTATAAATAAAGCAGGCACTCTTATTGAGAAATGTTTAAAATTTCTATAATTATTTTAATTTTTTTCAAAGTAGTTTCACATCTGACATCTACTAAATGCTCAATGAATATAAAAAAATGTATTCAACATGATTTGGAGATTTACAAATGTTTATTAGTACTAGTTCAGGAAGGAGCTTTTTGATCTAAATTCTATCTTTGTTCTCTCCATTACAGTGTTTCTAGATAAAACATCAATAAAACTTTCAAAAATGTTAAGATTCAAAGTGTAAATAAATATTTTTTTAAATCAAAATTTCATTTTCAAGATTGATGAGCAACGAAAGAAAGAAAACAAAGTAACAGAAGTTTTACTTTTTAATACTCCAGAAAGGTTCATGTTATTTTTCTTATATTTACAAATAAAACACAAATGGAAACTGAAACATCCAACTGTTAAATGTCAGAAAAATTTCAAAACAAATCAATATTACAAATAGAAGTCAGTGGGGTCTCTTGACTAATGCCATTTCTAATCTGTCCACAGAAACCTAGTATTGACGGTACAACAGAATACAGATTTCATTAATGGATATTTAAATCAGGGTTCTGAGAAAGTTTTATGTCTCAGGAATAAAGGGCCTGGATAGATAGGATTATCAGCCCACTTGTCATCTTGTTCTAGGTTCAGAAAAGCTTATCTGAGTTAGGTGTTCAAGTAACCTAAATGAACTATTTTAATTTTATGAGATATTGAAGACATCAGGAAATGAGTAAAATACCCTGTGAATCACCACAAATTTAAATCACCTTATTCATTTCCATGGAATCTAAAATGCAATGTTACACAGATAAATGACTCTAGTTACAAATATATGAAAAGAAATAAATCTGAAAAATCTCATAAGATGACTACATTTGAAAATAAAACTGATAGCTCTTGATACAAGCTAAAACTTATATAAAACTCAGATGCCCTGGCACGTTTAATGTAAAAGATAGGATAGAATATCATTTTAATATCATTTAAGGATAGAATATTCATTTTAAGATAATTAATTATACAATAACTTCTACTGGTATTAAGATCAAACTATTATAAAAGTTAATTCAGAAGCTGTATCTGTATTCCCTAAGAGTGCTTCTTGTCTTCAGTGTATTTTTTTTTTTTATTCAAGAGAAGAGCATGGTATTCTGCTTTCCTCTCCACAAAAGAGGAATTGGTAGTAATTTCTAAACTTAAGGTAGTTTTAATTTTGAAAACTATATAGGTTGTTTCCTCTACAAAAGGGCTAGACTTACCGTAGCACTTCACTTCTTAAAACAAATGTAAAGATTACAGATAAATTACTGAGTAAAAAGAAGACAGTGTATTAAAATGCATCACCTGTATTTCTCAGGAGACCTTAAGTCATTTTATCCACAAATGATGAGATTATGAGACTTCAATATATCTGATATCAAAATTGTAAATTAATAAAAAAGTTTTTATTTATAAACGTAAAATATTTTCCATGTAATTATTTGGTAAAAGTAAAATAATTACAGTACATAAACTACACCCTTTACAAGTATAAAAATACTTACCACCATTAACAGAGTATGCTCTATTAACTGGTAAATGTGGAACATCTCCTTCATTAATTAGTCTCAGGTCTTGTTCTCTCTGCAGCTCCCTGATTATTCCATCAAGAATGCTCTCATCTTGGTCATTGGTTTGCTGCCCAATTACCTGTTCTACTACCTCACCATCACCTTAATAAGACCAGATACAAAGCCACAAAATTACTTACATTTTAGTATACCTTAAACATAGTAAAAACAACCTATAAATTTCTACACAAATGATTAAAAACAGCATTAAACGTAAAATAAAGTATATATCAAATGAAACATTTGTAAATATTTTTGATGTACTAGCTTATGTGTCTGACTTAACCAATGCTCCCAAATTAGACATTATTATGAGAGCCTTCTCATCTTTAAAAATACAATCAAGTGCTGCATAACGACATTTCAGTCAAAGATAAACCACATATACGACGGTAGTCTCATAAGATCATAATGAAGCTGAAAAACTCTTATTGTTTAGTGACATCATAGCCTTCACAGTGCAATGCAGTACTCACGTTTGTGGTGTTATTGGCATAAACAAACCTACTGCACTGCTAGTTATATAAAAGCATAGCACATATAATTATGCACAGTACATAATATTTGGTAATAAATGACTATATTACTGTTTTATGTATGCACTATACCATACTTCGTATCATTTTGAAATGTACTCCTTTTAATTATTAAAAAAAATTGCACTGTAAAACAGCCTCAAGAAGGTCCTCCTGGAGGTATTCCAGAAAAAGGCATTGTTAACCTAAGAGATAACAGCTCCATATTGCCCCGGAAGACCTTCCAGTGGGACAAGCAAGATGTGGAGGTAGAAGACAGGGATATTGATAATCTTGACTCTGTGTAGACCTAGGCTAATGTA
This sequence comes from Homo sapiens, assembly GCF_000001405.40. NCBI lineage: Eukaryota > Metazoa > Chordata > Mammalia > Primates > Hominidae > Homo > Homo sapiens. The sequence goes on from NC_000023.11 coordinate 80,720,393, forward strand.
TGTTTGTGTCTTAACTTTTAAAAAGTTTAAAAAGTAAAACAATAAAAATTTTAAAAATAGAAAAACCTTATAGCATAAGGATATAAAAATATTTTATACAGCTGTACAATGTATTTGTGTTTTAAGCTAAGTATTACTACAAAAGAGTCGAAAAGTTAAAAAACAAACAAACAAACAAAAAACCAAAAAACCTAAAAAGTGTTTCCAGTAAGCTAAGGTTAATTTGTTACTGAAGAAAGAAAAATATTGTTTATATACATTTAGTGTAGCCTAAGTGTACAGTGTTGATAAAGTGTACAGTATTGTATAGTAATGTTCTAGGCCTTCACATTCAACCACTCACTCACTGAATCACCCATAGCAATTTCCAGTCCTTTAAGCTCCATTCCATGGTAAGTGCTTTATACAGTCATACCATTCTTAATCTTTTATACCATATTTTTCTGTACCTTTTCTGTCTAGATATGCTTAGATATACAAATATGTACCATTGTATGTATAACTGTCTATGGTATTCAGTGCAGTTACATGCTGTACAGGTTTGCTGCCTAAGAACAACTAGCTATGCCATATAAGAGTTTTGAGTAAGGTTTGAACAAGTTTAACCACAGATACCTAAAATGCTTTGCTTCCTTCTTTTGTGAAAATTTCCTTTTTGAAAGAAGTCGAAATGATGATCTTTCAACTATTACTGTCTTTTGATAACATTTTAGTGTTTTAATGAGTACAAAATTTTTATATACACTGAAACTTAATGATTATTTCTGAATGAAAATGTTAAATCTTTTTCTTTCTTAAGTATATCATAGCCCTGGTTTTCATCTTGTCCTCTAGTCAGATTTGACAGAGTAACCAAGTGATCAGATCTTACAAGAAATGTACAAGAAATAAAGTCTGATAAATTAGACTTTCTTATTCATTTCTTTTCAAGTTTATCTCCCATTTAATTAATATTCACACCTTTTCTCCTTGGCTAATAAATATGACATCATCACAGTAACTACAAGCACATGTGTAATACCATTTCCCTGCTCTACAACCTTTATGAGCAAGAACATAAAAGGACGTGCAGCATTTCACTCCATTCAAGCCTTAATTCCCTAGCAATGATATGAAATTCTACTTGCAAATCAGTAACTTACTAGCTCATACCTGAAGACAACCTACAAGTACCAAAGTAAGATATGAAGGCATTTTAAGTGGGGGTACAGGGCAGTATAAATAATGGAAATATGCTAACCAGAAGAGAATAAATTGCTTTGATAGAAAATAGCTTATTCCAATGTTTTATTCTACTATCTTCCTATCATATATCACATTCATCTCTGCTTTTCCAATATCTCCCAAGACTGAGTGTTATTTAAATAGTCACATCCTCTTACCCTACACCCAATAACTCTTTGCATTTCAAACACGAGGATAGGTAAATAGCTACCTCCAGCTGCGGGGTAGGGGTTGTTTTCTTTTTATTGAGACAAGAGTCTCACTCTGTCGCCCAGTCTGGAGTGCAGTGGCGCAATCTTGGCTCACCGCAACCTCTGCCTCCTGGGTTCAAGCGGTTCTTGTGCCTCATCCACCCAAGTAGTTGGGATTACAGCCGTGCACCAACACCCCCAGCTAATTTTTGCATTTTTTAGTAGAGACAGGGTTTCACCATGTTGGCCAGGCTGGTCTTGAATGCCTAACCTCAAGTAATCCACCCGCCTTGGCCTCCAAAAGTGCTGGGATTACAGGCGTGAGCCACCGCGCCTGGCCAGTCTGTGGTTTTTCAAAGTTTCCTCTTCTTAGCTTAATTAACTATGAACTCTCAAACCAAAATACCAATACGATAAGCAGTGGAATTCCATCAGTTATAAAAGCTTTTACTACAACTCCATACTATAGAAAACAACAGCTTCATACATATATAAGGTTTTCTAAAGAAACAGGTCAATACATTATCTGCTTGATGCTTATGTTTGTCCTAACCCACTTATCTGTGTCCAGGTGAGATAAACGATGAAAAAGTACTATGCTAAGGTAAAAACAACTGAAAATAAACAGTAACAGAAGATGAAACATATTATAACCTACTCCAGAGTTTAGCAGGAGGCATACATCATAGAGAGAACAGCAGTAATGTATAACATTGGGCAAAATGTTTTAAATTTACTTTTAGAGAAAACATACCATTAGCCACATATCCCAGCTGTGGTATAAGCTGTTCATCTTTACAATTTTCCCGTCCTGGTACCAACCGTTGGAATTTTGTGGGATGAGGATTTCCATCAACATCCACCAAAAATGGAGGAGGCATGAGGTGAGGAGCTTGTTGGGTTTGTTCATCCAATACATAGTTATTGGCATCACGAATAAGAGGACGATAATCCGTGTGGAAGAACATCTGATCTGGAATCTTTATGACAGATTTTTAGTGGGTTAACATACACAGGGAATTTATAAGTAAATACTTGTTTTCATTCCTTGAGCACACTCATTTTTTAAATCAGAGAATCTTTTGCATACTCTTCTAGTCCTTTGTTGCCCTGTATTCCCTTTAGGTAGAAGAGAATTGAATTACCTAAATGGTAATTCTCTTTTCTCCACAAAATCCTATAATCTGTATTAATTTTTAGACATATCATATTTCTTCTATTATGATAAGAAGAACTAAAGCAACAACCCAGTAGATATAGTTGGGCGTTTGTATTGAAGTTGTAAAAATTACACAAACCTATGTAATTACATTTTTCTTGCTTATTTTTATTCAAATGAAGATAGATGAAGTATAATACATATGGTAAAACAGGTAAATATCAATCACATCAAAGGCACTCAAACCTGATATTAATGCAATTATTGAGCTGACCTCAATGCTTGAGTTCTCTTTCAACTCTAAGATTCTATAATCTTTCTCAAATTCACAGCTAATAAAACATAAAGACCAATTAAGTTAGCTCCCAAAGTATTTCAACAGGATCAATAATAAGTAAAATAGTAAAACAGCCACCTAAGAAAATAAAAATATTCAGTCACCAGCGGTTTATTCCCAATTCATGAGAAGTAGAAGATGTGATGTGTTAGAATTACTCTCCTATTATACCTGGAAGGCAGGTATAATATACGCAAAAGGATTTCCTAAGGAATGTTTATATCTTCATCACCCTATAACTTATCTCTATTGTGATCTGCACAGCCAAACCTAAGGTTCTGGCAGTGCAGATCACAATTGAGAACCTTTACTAAGAAAGACAACTTTCTTTTATTTTGTATCTATTGACACATAACAGCCCTTATTAACTGGAGGGCTTTAAACAAAATTTGTGAATGACACAATCCTAAATTATACTCTACAGCAAAATTTAAATATGCTAACCTTTTCGTAGTATTTACTGCATCCAAAACCAAAAAGCAGCAAATGTCCATGAGAATCTGTGCAGGCAAAATGGTTTCCATCTGGTGAAAATTTACAATCAAACACCGCACCATGGCCTTGGCCTTCAATCTGAAATTCAGAGGAGTCTCAAGTCATCTTAAGAGTAATTTTCAAATAATAGATAGGCGGTAACTTCTCCTTGTTAATACCATGGACTCTGTGATACACAAACATTCCAAAGTACTCTCTCTGGCTTCTGCAGCCAGAACCCTACTGATACAGTAAATCCCTGAAAGAAATTAGGGAGAGGCAAATTGCAATGGATGAAATCAATCATTGCTAGCAAGGACATACCTCATGAAATACTAAATGAGTGACTGTGAAGATTAAAAAAGAACTAAATGCAATCAAAATGACAAAGGTACTACCTAAGCAAAGTCAAGATACTATCTTCACATCTTAAGTTGTAATGCAATGAAGTCTTAAAATAACCATCCTAAAATTAAAGCACACAATCAATTTTACCAATAAAAGACAGAGGATCTGTCTTTGCTTTGGGTCTATATAAAGCATATAAAAGTAAACTCAAAGAGCAACCAACAATTTAGAAACGTTTAATGAGAATTATTCTTAAGAGGATATTAGTATTTCCATCATCATAGAATGGTGGATATGAGTAGTCCCATCACCATAGAAGGGTGTTCTGAGAGAAGAGATAGCTCACCAGATTTTTCCATGGCTTGTATGAGACATATCTTAAAGAACATCCGTATCTCCAAGTCCATGTTTGCCAAACAACTTTCTGATTACTAAATCATATGAGGTTTACCAGAGGCAGATACAAGTATTACAGTCACTGTTACAATTCATAAATCAGAATTACATTTTAAACATCAATCTTTTTGTGATTTTGGTTAGGTGTTAACTCCAAAGCTTAATACATTTGAGTATCTGTAGTTTGGGACTGGGGAACAGAATTTGGAAAATGCTAACACCTAAGAATAGTCATCTTGAAAGGCTCAACTGGCCTTATTCTCAATTCTTGAGTTATTCTCTGAAATATTTAACCAATTTAAACACATATGACAAGAGGTTCCTCTGCACTAGGTATACTTTAATTAACCAAGTTATTATATGAGAGAAGTTGGTTTTAATGTGAACTAGATACAGGTAGGTGTCTCTTACCATGTTAAAGTAATTCCGAATTTTGGTCCCCCGGTCAAGGTCCCAAATAAAAATGTTCCCATCATGACCTGCTGAAAGTATGATCCTTTGATCAAATGGATGGGCTTCTAGAACGAATACTTCATCATCATGTCCCTATAATAAAAATCAGTATTAACAATGAAAGCAACACGAAATGTTTGGTTCATTTGGTAAAAAGGTCTTCAGTGTGCTATCAGTTAGGTTCAAATGAATTTATGCAGAATAATTTAACAGCATTTATGACATGGATACTACATGAACAATATAGGTCAGTGAGAGTTCCTTATAAACTGCTGATTTTATCAAGTATTCAATAAACAGAAGACCCAGAAATGTTTTTAAAATAAAGATAGTCTAAACAGTTACAGCTCATTAACCAGGCCTCTGAAGTGGAATTTAGGACTGGGCTATTTAAAAGGCCACAGAATATGACAAACAGAATCTTTCAATAACACCCAATTCTGACACAGTGATAAATACAATCCAGCACTCTATTCTCTATTACTGGTATTCAAATTGTATTTTAGTAGGTCCCATGATACATTCAAAGGATAAAGCACAGTGGCTCTGCTCTATATCTACTTTACATTTGGGAGTTCCATTTAAGATGTTATCTGGAAAATACATTTCCTGCTAAAAAGAAATTAAGTTTGAAAACCAATGCTTTATGTTATATGTCTATATAACATATAACATGTTTACATGTGTTACATGCCTATATAACATATAACATGTTTACATGTGTTACATGCCTATATAACATATAACATGTTTACATGTGTTACATGCCTATATAACATATAACATGTTTACATGTGTTACATGCCTATATAACGTATAACATGTTTACATGTGTTACATGCCTATATAACATAACATGTTTACATGTGTTACATGCCTATATAACATAACATGTTTACATGTGTTACATGCCTATATAACATGTTTACATATGTTACATGCCTATATGACATAACTTGTTTACATGTTACATGTCTATATAACACATAACATGTTTACATGTTATATGTCTATATAACATAACATGTTTACATGTTATATGTCTATATAACATATAACATGTTTACATGTTATGTCTATATAACACAACATGTTTACATGTTGTCTGTATAACAACATGTTTACATGTTATGTGTCTGTATAACATATAACACGTTTACATATGTCTGTATAACATATAACACGTTTACATGTTATATGTCTGTATAACATATAACACGTTTACATGTTATATGTCTGTATAACATATAACACGTTTACATGTTATATGTCTGTATAACATATAACACGTTTACATGTTATGTCTGTATAACATATAACACGTTTACATGTTATGTCTGTATAACATATAACATGTTTACATGTTATGTCTGTATAACATATAACATGTTTACATGTTATATCTGTATAACATAACATGTTTACATATGTTATATGTTTATATGCCTCATAAAGGAAAAGTTTACAAACATCTGCTTTAAGATCACTGTTGATTTTCTTTGGACTTAACTCCTGACTAGAGAGTATATGATTAAGAACAGGCTCCAAGCCTTAGAAAAGCATAGAGAACATCCTGAAGCTGCACTTATCTTAGGAACACACCATCACATTATACATCAGGAGCGTCTAAAAAAATGATCATATCCTGCAAATCTCAAAAGTGCATTTTATCCCAAATCATGCTATTAAAAAAAATAGAATAGAGTATCCTACCATATTACGATTATGGACAAAAATACACCTTGCTGAAAGAAAATATAACTTTAGACTGGCTCAAAATGTAGTGTTAAGATTAGTAGGAAAAATCCCCTTATGATAAGTACCATCACAACTCAAAGTTTACCAAAATTCTTCCCCGTGACTACAGAAAAAGTTATTTCTTTGTTATAACAAAATCCCTTGCTAAAAGAATCAATCTGATATAGCCAATATTTTCTGAGGTTCCTAACCAGCAAAACATAAAGTTAGTTTGTTAAACTCTAATGATAATGACATGACTACTTCAATGTACATTAGGGAAAAAAAAAAACTTTGAAGCTGGGGATTTTCATTTTTTTTGGGTCACATGCCTTAGGAGAGTACATAGTTACTAGATCATGGGGAACAAGATCTAGTCAGAATCAGTAATGTCTTAAAATTTATCATCTGCCATATTTGTATTTAGTAAGCACACTTTTATTTCCACCACCACCACACAAATCTAAATTATCATCCTGGCTCATTCTGGCTACTATCAGACTCCTATAATCTATCTGCAGTCACTCTTAGCCCATTCCAATCTATTCCCTCTTCTGTGACCAGAATTAAAAGGTATTTTTCAAAAGCAAAACTCTCATGTCATTCCTTTGCTTTAAACCCTTTAATGATTTCCTATTGGTGTTACAATAGAGCCTACAAAATCCTAGTCTGGCCCCTGTCCACTTTTCCAATTGTATCTGGGGAGAATCTGTTTCTGCTCTCTGTGATATAGCTAAATTGGCTTTCTTTCAGCTCCTATCTACCTCAGGACCTTTGCACATGCCGTTCCCTCTTTCTAGAAACATGCCCCAGCCTCCTCACATATTTGATTTACCAAATATTTATTGATTTCCTACCATGTAGAGGCAGGGAATAAACAAGAAAACATAACAATAAAATATCAGATAGTGATAAACCTAATAAAAGTAAAGCAAGGTGACATAATAAGACAAAGACTAGGAGGCTACCTTGGATTGTTTGATCAGGGAAGGCCTAATCAAGGAGTTGACAAGTTGAGATTGGGTAATTCCTACTTATCTTTCAAAACTTAACCCAAACTACACTTCCTCAGGAAGTTTTCTCTGAGCCTCCCATATCAAATTTGGTTACCCTGTTAGAAGTTTGCATTCTATCTTGCATTTTTCTTTCTTAGCACTTATCTGATTAAAGGTATTTCTCATAATAGGCTATAAACTCTAGCATGACAGGACTCTGTCTAATTTACCATTTATATCTAACACCTAAGCCACTTCTGGCACATAGCTGATACTCAAACAGCATTTGCAAAATAGAAGAACTTTACATCCCTCTGATACATAAACACCATGATATAGTATAAAGACAACTGAGTTGAGTCAGAAGAATTGGTTTCTATTCTTATCACTTACTATCGTGTAATCACATGGCAACCATTTGGCATTCTCTCCTTAAAATGCTTATGAATTGATAGTTGAAACAGACAAAAAATAAGGTTTTTAAATTAAGCTTAATCTGAAGTCAACCAGTATTATGATAAACTGAAAAACATCAACACTACCCATGTGATTTCTGCTATTAATCCTTTCAACTTTTTACATAACAAATACTACAGCCTCTTACAATGACAAATACACTTTCTGAAAGAGGAAAAAAGACCTTTCTTTTCCTACTTCTTCCTCTTACCCCTATTCCTTGAAAAAACTATGTAGGATACCCTTGTTGAAATAAGGTACGCTCTACCCCTATAACGGTAACAATGAAAAAATGCCAACCCCTGCTAAAAACAAAATAACTTATATGTCCTCATTGTATACAATAACATAGTAGATGAGTAACTACCAGACTTAGAAAAGATCTTGAAAAGATTTCATACTTGCTTTTAGCAGGTATAGCGCGTGTCATCCCTATTTTACAGATATGTCAACAGAGCCCTCTCAGAAAATCATTTTTCCAAGGACTAGTATAGTATATCATAGAAAGGAACCTGGAACTTAAATTTCCTGTGTCTTAAAATAATGTGCTTTTTGACCATTTTAATTACTCTAAAAATAAAATACTTACAGATAATGTATGAAGAAGCTGTCCTGTGATAGAATTCCACACTTTCAAAAGAAAATTGTTCACTGCAGTAATAACTGTGGTATCATAGCGATCCCAGGCCACCATAGTCACCTTAAGTTTAGTGATCTTGTCTTCTCCAGATGGCAAATTATTGCTAAACAAAACAATTTGCAGTATTCATATCTTATAAATTTTTGACAAAGGTGCATGTTAAATAGCAAATTATGACAAAATTTCTCCAGGAGTATACAACTGTTTAGATTTAAAAATCCTAAACTATACCGTTAAGTATTCATGAAAGAAAAAAATAAATATATCTGCATAGGGCAATACCCATTAGCTTATTTCAGGGAGAAAAAAAGACCCTAAAATGACAAAAATTTGGTAAATAGTTCCTTGAGAACCAAAAACTACTAAGAAATCTATAAATACCTTGAAAAATAAAATTCATACTTATATTGGTTGTCAGAAAATATGAAAACATAATGGCCAATTTATTATCTTAAATATGAATGTTTTTAAAAACCCATAGGTCTTATAAAAAAGCAGATTTAGTACCATTTTTATGTAATTAAATATGACATTATCAATGGGCGACTATGATGAAAAAGTCATTTCTATATTGCAACTAATGGAAAGATAGTTGATTTCAGGACCATACCCTAAAGAAGCTGTAGTGTCCCAAAGAGGTAATTATGTATCTTCCAATCAACAGTGAAGATGACAAAACTAAATGCTGATTAAGTGGATATTTATTACTGAGTAGGAAAAATATTATAAAAGTGTCCTTAGAAAATTAGAGAAAAAGTTAAACATATGATGACATTTAATAGGGACAACTCTCAAGGTAGAAAGTAAAATAGATATATTTTTTAATGACCTATAAAAAACTAAGGCAGAGAATGGCTCTGTAGGCATCAGTAGAACACAGAGATCTTTGAGTCACAAAAGACCAGAATATCAAATGAATCAGCAATGTTCCTGTCATCCACTCTGTCAATCAACAGTAACGAAGATTTGCTTAGAGGCTGTACAGATGCAAACTTCATGTCTACAATTAACTTCAAACTATTTATTAATGTAAAAAGATATTTTATATTCACTATTAAACTCAATGTAAAATATATCATGAGAACCACATAAACATCTAACATATATTCTTACCCAGTCATTTTAGTAGCCATGTCTAGCACTATACTCTTCCATTCTTGTTGCTGATACTGCCAAATTCTTGCCGTTCCATCTCGACTTCCACTAACAAATCTTAAACTAGAAAGAGTTAAAATAACTTTATTAATTTTCTCAAAAATGTAAATCACTTTTTTTTGATAATATAAGTAACACATTAGCCCTCACATACTACTGAGGGGAATGTAAAATGGTACAGTCACTTTGGAAAACAGCTTGGCAGTTCTTCAAAATGTTAAACATAGAGTTATCATATGACCCAGAAATTCTACTCCTGGGTATATATCCAAGAGTAATGAAAACATAAGTCCACATAAAAATGTGTACATGAATATTCATGGCAGCATTATTCATAATAAGTCAAAAAGTGGAAACAACCCAAATGTCCATCAACGGGATAAATGGATAAACAAAATGTAGCATATTCATACAATGAAATATTATTTAGCAAAAGAAAGAAAGAAAGAAAGAAAGAAAGAAAGAAAGAAAGAAAGAAAGAAAGAAAGAAAGACACAGTTAACACAGATGAATCTTGAATAGGCAAACCTATAAAGACAAAAAGTAGATTAATGGTTACCAAGAGCTGGGAGTGAAGGGATAGGAGAATTGGAGGTTGACAGTTAAAGGGTATGAGCTTTCTTTCAGGGCCAATGAAAATGTTCTAAAATTGACTGTGGTGATGGTTGCACAACCCTATGAATATACTAAAAACCAATGAATTTTATGTCATGTAAATTATATCTCAATAAAGATGTCATTTAAAAAGAATACATATTCACCCATACTTCTGTCACTGTTAACACTTCAGTTTCTATTTTCAGAATTTATAAAATACAGACATACACACTTCAATATTTTCTACTACAAAAAATTGAATTGAACTACATATGTTTTTCCCTAGCTTAACTGTATTTCGTAGATCTATTTCTATGTTTACAAGTACAAAACTACTATCACTTTTAATAAGTGTTCAACTATATGAATGTACCAAAATTTTTTCAATTAATCCCTTAATGATCAACTGTTGTTTCCAATCTTCACCATTATAAATAATGCTGTGATGAACATCTCTATATAATCTTTGTACAACCTCATACATATCTTTGCTGAGTCAGAGTAGGTGTATTTTTAAAGCTTTTGATACATACTGCCAAATTGTTTCCCTGAAAAGTTTTTTTAATAATTTATAATCTCATCACAAGTTGTAGAAGTGTCCATTTTCCCAAAACCCTTGGCAATATTGGGATTATCATTTTTCATTATCTTGTCATTCTGAAAGAAAAAAAAGTGACTGTTATTTTAATTAATATTTCTTTGATTATTAGTAAAGTTGGACATCTCCTCATGTGTTTATTGGCCACACGAATAATTAAGACCACAATAATGTATTTTCTCCTTAATGGAAAAAGACAGGGAGTTAAAAATTTAGGTTCTTCCATCATGAAAGAACAGTAGCTATACTAATGTTCAAGCATCTAACTCAGTATAATGCAGTCAAGTCAACCTTAAAATTTATTTGGTGGTTTTTTCATTCCTAATACAGACATCACTGTTTGTAGACTATCATTATTTACTCTCAAATTGGACAAAAATGAACAACTCTATCACTGTAATTATTTGCTGTCAAAAAATTATTTAAAAATAAAACATGATCATCCTATAAAGTCCTTATAGGCCGGGCGCAGTGGCTCACGCCTGTAATCCTAGCACTTTGGGAGGCCGAGGCGGGCAGATCACAAGGTCAGGAGATTGAGACCATCCTGGCTAACACGGTGAAACCCCGTCTCTACTAAAAATACAAAAAAATTAGCCAGGCGTGGTGGCGGAGGCCTGTAGTCCCAGCTACTTGGGAGGCTGAGGCAGGAGAATGGCGTGAACCCGGGAGGCGGAGCTTGCAGTGAGCCGAGATCACACCACTGCACTCCAGCCTGGGTGACAGAGCGAGACTCTGTCTCAAAAAAAAAAAAAAAAAAAAAAAAAGTCCTTATAGACATACAAGTTGAGCTAGCTGAATCCAAAATTCTAAAATCTGAAAGTGTTTTGAGTGTCAACATGACACAAGTCAAAAATTCCACACCTGGCCTCTTGTGATGGGTCACCAATAGTCAAAACTTTGTTTCATGCACAAAATTATTTAAAATATTGTATAAAATTACTTTCAGGCTACGTGTATAAGGTATATATGAAACATAAATGAACTGTGTTTAGACTTGGGTTCCATCTCCCAGCATATCTCAGTATACATATGCAAATATTCCAAAATCTGTAAAAATATCCACTTCCGGTATACCAAGCATTTTGGATAGGAAATAACCTGTATTTGAAACAAATTTATGCTAGGTGCTTAAAATTTTAAATCTATTATGCTAGGTAAACTTTTAGGCTAGAGCCTTTTTGGCCACCATCTTTTTGGGATTAGACATTTTAGAGAGTGCAAGGATATCTGCATATAATTTCTGACTTTAGGGATACAGGAGTAATGAGTGATGCAGATATTCAGAGAAAGTCAAGACAACTAAAAGCTGGAACATTCAGGAAAGGTTTCAGGTAGGGCATGAACCGTAAAAGGAAGATAAGACCTAGTTAAGAAGAGGGGGAAAAAAAGAAAGGACAGGGAGAAGAGAATAAAGGAGAAAGAAAGTAGGAGAGAGAGAGAAAGAGGTTAGGGGAAGGTAGGAAGTGGCATTTCTTGGTAGAAATGATGTGAGGAAAAGTATAAGCAAAGGAATGGATGAGATGTGAACAGAAGCAGGGTACATCAATTAGGCTGGATCTAAGGATTCATATAGAGAATAGTAGCAAAGAATGTAGCTCTAAGTCATGTGGTAAAAAGCTGTGAATGCCAGGCTAAGACATTTGAATTATATTCCATAGACAGAGAAGAGGAAACACTAAAGATTTCTATAAAGAACAATGTTGGCCGGGCATGGTGGCTCACGCCTGTAATCCCAGCACTTTGGGAGGCCAAGGCGGGCAGATGACAAGGTCAGGAGATCAAGACCATCCTGGTGAAACACCGTCTCTACTAAAAATACAAAAACTTAGCCAGGTGTGGTGGCATGCACCTGTAATCCCAGCTATTCGGGAGGCTGAGGCAGGAGAATCGCTTGAACCCAGGAGATGGAGGTTGCAGTGAGCCAAGATCGCACCACCGCACTCCAGCCTCGGCAACAGAGCAAGACACCGTCTCAAAAAAAAAAAAAAAAGAACAATGTTACACTGGCAGAGATGGACAGGTCAAATAATGGAACACTTGACTGACGTGGGTGCTAACAGAAATAGAGCAAAATAAACAAAGAAGAAAGCACTCAGAAAGGACGACCTGATAGGCTATGGTTACTACTTGGATGAGATTGTGGAAGTGATGGCTAAGGATGTCATCAAAGACAAACAAGGGCTTTGAACCTAAATAACTGGACAGAAATAAGGTATCTATCATAGAAGTAGCTGCATCTGAGGGAATGGTAGTAAAATATATCAAACATTTGTTTACACAAATATGTATTACATAATTACCTGTCTCCATTGTTACAGAACTGAACAGCAACAACTTTATCCTAAGACATGAAACAGATTTTTCGTTAAAATGGACTTATTTGTAAAATGAATTAAGTGCTCTTTCTCTCAAATTCATAGGCAAAAACATCATGAAGTAGTTTTTTTTTTTTTTAATTTCAATGAAGCCCAAAACAATGTACTAACTATTGAGGAATACCTATTGGCAGTAACAGGAAACAAACCAGACATAGGGAAACCTCACAAACCATATTTCAAGAGACAAATAGTTCTGAATAGATATTAGTTTATTATGTCCTCCATAATAAGACAGCACACTAATATAAGAGAATACCTTAAAATAGTTAATTTAATAGTAGTTGCATTAAATTTTACACATAATTTTATTAATGTTTGAAAATAAATCAATCATTTCCTGTTTCCCACATCATTTATTTAATTATTTTCCAATGGAATCATCTGACAATCTATAGGTAATCTTCTTTTAGAATAATTAACCCATACTTTTACAAGTATAGTATGTATAGTAGTAATGACAAGAGTAAAGTGTAAGCCAAAATTTGTGATTTGTATATGTTACTATGGTACAGATCAGAAAAGAAATGAAATAAGCTTTCCAAGGATGTTCAAAAATAAAGCAACCGTTTCTGATTTTCTCTTACCGTATGTGACTCTAATTCAGCAATTTTCTCAGGAACCTCAGAACCCAAATAATATATTCTAATCACATGGTCAGTACTACCAGTTGTAATGAACATACCACCTAGAAGATTAAAAAACAAAACAAAACATAGTACCAAGGAACCTTAAAAACCCTCTCATTACTTCCTTAGTTGTATGCTACCTTGCATTAGTAAAAAGGCTTAAAGAAACACAAGGTTGTCTTCTAATTATTGGAGACATACTAGCGATTTAGAGAAAATGTAAAACTGTATCATTCATCCAACAAAATCTACAAACTATACACTGAATACAGGCCGCCTATGATCATAAACATTAAAGAACACATCCTGAGGAATGCATTTCTTTATTTAGAAATGCAATGTTCCAAAATTATTTATAAGACAACTTATCTACAATTCTCTTTACTGTGGTTATAGTGGTTGAGTGTAAAAAGTCAACTGCTTTTGGGATGATGAAAAAGTTTTAGAGATGGATGGTGTGACAGATGCAGACCAATGTGAATATACTGTACACTTAAGAATGGCTAAAATGATAAAATTTTAGGTTCTGTATATTTCACCACAATCAAAAAAAGGAAAAAAAAAAAGGTTAACTAATGTAGGATTCTTAGCAGTAGAGAAAGCACTGTAAAAGTGTTTTCAATATGGAGCAACAGTACATGTTTTTTTGTCAACTCTGGGCAGAATTTTTGTGTTGATTGCGGGGCAGTAAACTTTTTTGTTAGTGGGTATTTAGAGTAGGGGGTCTGTTTTTTACCAAGCAAAATCACCATTATATAAAAATGTATTAAATTATGAATAAGGAAAAAAAAATCAACCTTACACATTACTTAGAGTCCAAAAGAGTTTATCTATCATAACACATGGTTCAGATTTTTGATATCCTTCAATTAACACTCAAATGTGTATCTTTTTTCTTCATAAATCACTTTCACAACTGGATCGTTAAATATTCTAGATGCTCAAAACATTCCAGTTTTACACATACCAGAACTGAAAGATGAACAAGATATCTGGACTCCAGGTCTGGATCTCTCAGTAAATTTCACCGGGCGATCTCTAAAGATAAAAATAAGGTGTTTTTGTGTTTCATCATGTTTGGCTAATGGGCCAGAATGTTAGCGCACTACTGGATACTGATCAATTTAGCATCAATATTATAGAAAAAACAAAAGGAACGTGGTCAATAAGTACTATTCTCATCAATTAGGTTAAAAATGCATTTAACCTTGCAAATATACTTTATGATATCAGTATTATTACTATAGTTTTATTAACCATATTACTTACTACTACCATTATGAGAAATCTTCTTACCAAAGTAAGAAATGAAACAAATAAAATCCTACCAAGATTTTCTATATAAATTGTCTCTTCAACATTAATATCAAAAAAATTTTGGCTGGGCACAGTGGCTCACGCCTGTAATCCCAGCACTTGGGAAGGACAAGGTCAGGAGATCGAGACCATCCTGGCTAACACGGTGAAACCCTGTCTCTACTAAAAATACAAAAAATTAGCCAGGCATAGTGGCGGGTGCCTGTAGTCCCAGCTGCTTGGGAGGCTGAGGCAGGAGAATGGCATGAACCCGGAAGGCGGAGCTTGCAGTGAGCCAAGATCACACCACTGCACTCCAGCCTGGGCAACAGAGCGAGACTCTGTCTCAAAAAAAAAAAAAAAAAATTATCCTAAAATCTCTTAACAACCTATTGAAGTAGGTATGGATATGTATACACAAATACACATACACATATGTAAATATATATATTTAAATACATGGACTATTAAGAATCAAGGCAATAGATAAAAAATTAACATGCTTAATTTTTCACAAAATTTCTAAACTTACCTAAACTTCATTGTTTTTACATGCCATTGCCAGAAACAGATTGTTCCATCAGCACCAGTAGAAGTGAGGTATCTGTTTGTGCCTTTAGTTGATGGACAAAACTTAAAAAAAAAAAAATCTGATTCAAATAAAAAGTTTTCATGTTCAGCCTAACATCAAACACGGAGTATTTTCAAATTGTAATCATTTAACAAATATAATTTCAATAAATTCAGCTAAAAATTTTTGTTTCAAGGGACTATTTAACTTTCCTAGATTAATAAATACCTTATAAAAAATTTAAAATATCAAAAAAACTATAGGAAAAGTAACTGAACTTAGGGTAAAATGTTTTAGTTATAAAAAAATTACTTTTAAATTATTTAACATTACACTTTAAGATTTTTAATCACTTTCGGTGGAGAATAAACTCACAAGCACATTACTACTTAAACCTTTACAAATGTGCTATATATACACTTATAGAAACAACTGTGGAATTTTTATAGTTCAGATGGGCAGAGGATTAGAAGTAAATCTAAAAACACTTGGGAAGTTAATATCCAAGTATTTGGTTTTATTATTTATTTCACTTTAAAATCCAGTTCCATTCAATTGAAGTATATAATTTTGTCTTTTTTAGATGTAAGCCATTTGTTTCCATAAATAATGTAAAATAGTTCAAATCGTTATTCGTATCATATCATTGTGGGAAAACGGAGATCAAGTTAAAAAAAAAAAGTTGTCAATACAGAGGACTACTACTATGTCAGAAGGATCAAGGCCTTTATCATGTGGGCTTCTCAGGCTCTTACTCTCAGTATTTTACATATCCTCAGAAAAGAATCACAGAAAAGGGAAAAGAACAACTGAGCTCCTGATGTCTGGGACACAGGAAAAAGCTGAAAATTGGACAAGAGTTTCTGGCATGTCAGTGAGTTTTTAAAATCCCAAATGAAGATAATTAAACATTTCCATTGAGATGATGACTAAGGATTAAGATATATAGGGTTTGAATACATTTTGAATGCAAATCAAAAGAAAATTATCATTATAGAAATTTGAAGTAATTTACTTAGCTTCTTTGGAAGCACAGAACTTCTAAAGACAACAGAGATGAATTCAAACAAAAATTACTCATTAATATTATTCATTAACAACTGATGTGCAGTAAAGAAACCAGGACTCATGCCTATATAGTCCTCCGTTGGTATCATTGAGACATTGCTTCCAGGACCTCCCATGGATACTAAAATCAGTAGATGCTCAAGTCCCTGATATAAAATGGTATGGTATTTGCAGATAACATATGTACATCCTCCTGTATACTTTAAATTAAATCATCTCTAGATTACTGATAATACCTAATACAATGTAAATGCTGTAGTAATTTGTTGTTATACTATATTACTTAAGGGATAATGACAAGAAAAAAATCTGTACATGTTCAGTACGAATGTTAATTTTTTTCAAATGACTTTTGTTCCTCAGCTGGTTGAAGCCACAGATGCAGAATCTACGGATACAAAGGGTAAACTGTATTTTCATTTCTGAGATTGAGAAATTTGCATTAAAAAGCTTAATCTGGCTGGGCGCAGTGGCTCACACCTGTAATCTCAGCACTTTGGGAGGCCGAGGCAGGCAGATCACCTGAGGTCGGGAGTTCGAAACGAGACTGGCCGATATGGCAAAACCCCGTCTCTATTAAAAATAAAAAAATTAGCTGGGCATGGTGGCACATGCCTGTAATCCCAGCTACTCAGGATGCTGAGGCATGAGAATTGCTTGAAGCCAGAAGGCAGAGGTTGCAGTTAGCTGAGACCGTACCACCGCACTCCAGCCTGGGCTACACAGCAAGACTGTCTCAACAACAACATCAAAAGCTTACTCTAAAATCTACAGCAGTAATCCACAAATTATGGCCAACACACCAAATTCAGCTTATTGCCTGCTTCTGTAAATATAGTGTTATTGGAACACAGTCGCCTTACACTGTCTATGGCTGCTTTTGCACTATGGGAACAGAGCTGAGCAGTTGTGACAGAGATTGTATGACATGCTAAGCCTAAATATTTACTATCTGGCCTGTATATTTGCTGATCTCAGATCTACAGGAATTAGACAATTAAATATGAAATAGTATAATTTTATAAAGTGAAGAAATATTGAAACCTTTATCTCCATTGCATTTAAATTGCTTCATCTATCACAAAGGGGGACCTGGCCCATTAATGTGCCTTAATAGAATTGTTTTAATGAGAAATCATGTTATGGATTGTTTAATAAAAAATCGTGTTATGGATTGTTTAATAAAATCAGGTTACGGATTGTTTAATAGAATTGTTTTAAATGAGAAAACATGTTATGGACTGTTTAATACATACCTATTGTACAAAACTTAGGAAATGTGGAAAAACAGAAAAAAAGTAACACGTAATTCTGCCATTCAGTGGTAACCACTATTAGCATCATACCACTTTAACTATATTTTGTTAAAAAAAATACAAAACGTGGGAGAATAATATATCACTGATGTTAATAAACACAGCCAATACACAAATAATAAAGAACATGTAAAGAATACCAAAAGATGACTATTACTACAGACAAAAAAATGAAACAGAAGGGAAGATACAGAGTTGCTGTGCACACAGTGGAGGGGGTGGGGGGGGCAGTGGTTTACAATTTTAATCAGAGCAATAAGGTAGTCAGAGAAGGTCTCCCTGAGAGGGTGACATGTGCACAAAGCACATAGAAACTGAGAAAACAAACTATGTGAATATCCAGGGAAGACCACTCCAGAGACAGGAAACAGTTAAGAGCAAAGGCAGCCATGTACCTAGAATGTTCAAGAAAAGCAAAGTGGCCAGCAGTAAGCAGAGTGAAAAAGGCAAACAAACACGCAGTAGATGAGATTGAAGAGCGCCAAGGAGGCTGAGAATACAGAGCACTGTGAGTCACTGTGAAGACTTCAGCTTTAACTCTGAGATTGGAAGCTACTGATGGTCCTGAGCACCAGTGACACAATTTAACTGCCATTTTAAAATAACTTTGTCTGTTAAACTGAGAGACTAAACTGGGTGCAGGGGAAAGGGAATGGAAGATGCAGGCAGATCGGTTAGAAGTCTATTTCAATAATCTAGACCACAGGTGATAGTGCCTTAAAACAGGACAGCAATAACAGAGGTCATGAGAATTTGCCAGATTCTAGATACACTTTGATGGTAGAACCAACATGATTTGCTGACAAGTTAGACACAAAGTATAAGAGAAAGATAAAAGGGATGATCTACTCTGAGCAGTTGAAAGCATGGTATTGCCATTTGTTTGGATGAAAAGGCTTGGGGAGAAGATCTAAGGAAGAAAAAATAGTTCAATAATGAATATAATGAGTTTGAAATACCTAGTAGACATCCATGTGATGATGCCAAGAAGATAGTTGCATAAACAAGTATGGAGCTAAAAGATCCTAAATGGAGATGGAAGTTTGAGAATCATCAGTTTACAGATTAAATTCAAAACCATGAGATGACTAAGAGAAAGAGTATGATAGAGAGGTCTACAGATCTCTAAGGCACTACAATATGTAAAAGAAATGAGAAAATAAACAAGCAAATGAAACTATGAAAAAAACAACAGTATCATAAATATTTTTCATTATTTAGTAGACCCTCCTTATCTGCAGAGGACACATATCAAGACCTCCAGTGGATGCCTGAAACCTTGAATAGTACCAAGCCCTAAGTTTTTTCCTATGCCTACACACCTATAAGCTTAATTTATAAATTAGGCACAGTAGGAAATTAACAAATAATACCTAATAATAATGTTATAAAATTATAACAATATACTATAATAAAAGTTATATGAATGTGGTCTCTTTCCCAAAGTATGTCATTGCACTGCATTCACCTATTTTCAAACCATGGCTGATGGTGGGTAACTGAAACCTTGGAAAGCCAAACCGCAGATAAGGGGGACTACGATAATCAAATGATTTTTTTCAATGGCATATGACAGTATGTCCCAATTCCAGAAATAATCAGTCAGATATGATAGTGAGATCACAAGTAACTGATAATCTCCCAAATCAAAATGCATGAAATAATTTCAAATAATCAAAATGTTGACATGAATTTTTTTCAAATTCAACACACACTGAACCCAATTCTTGCTAGCTCCCCATAAAAAGATGATATATTATTTAAATAACACAAAAAATGGCATACTTATTATTTCCTAAAGAATAAACAAAAGTAAATGGGTATAATTATCTCCTCCAAAAGTGGTCTCTTTCTCCAAAGTGTAAAAATTTTAATATTTCTCTGTTTTGCTCTCAACAGAAAGAAGAGGACAAAAGCTCATCTTCATTAGTTTCATTAAATAAAAAATATTTTAAGTTATCCATGACTTTCACTACCAACATCTGGTAAAACCACTATGTGGACAATTATTAAAAGAAGCCAACGTATTCCACATTAAAAATCAAATTGAGGCTGAGTGCAGTGGCTCACGTGCCTGTAATCCCAGCAATTTGGGAAGCCAAAGCCAGAGGATCGCACTTGAGTCCAGGACTTTGAGACCAGCCTAGGCAACATGTCGAATCCCTGTCTCTACAAAAAAAATACAAAATATAGCCGGATGTGGTGGCGCATGCCGGTAGTACCAGCTACTCAGGAGGTGGAGGTGGGAAGATCACTTGAACCTGGGAGGTGGAGGCTGCAGTGAGCCGAGATCCCACCACTGCACTCCAGCATGGGTGACAACAAAACAAAACAAAACAAAACACATCAAATTGAAATAAAAAATCACTGAAACTAAGAATAAAAATGTCCCTCACATTAACCTAAACACAGACACACACATACTAACTCTGACTGGCAAACATCTTGCATTAAATATTAATACAAGGTATGCCAATATTCAAGTTAGAACCTGTTTATATTCTTTTTTTAAATTATACTTTAAGTTTTAGAGTACATGTGCACAACATGCAGGTTTGTTACATACGTATACATGTGCCATGTTGGTGTGCTGCACCCATTAACTCATCATTTAACATTAGGTATATCTCCTACTGCTATCCATCCCCCCTCCCCCACCCCACAACAGGCCCTGGTGTGTGATGTTCCCCTTCCTGTGTCCAGGTGTTCTCATTGTTCAATTCCCACCTATGAGTGAGAACATGCGGTGTTCGGTTTTTTGTCCTTGCGATAGTTTGCAGAGAATGATGGTTTCCAGCTTCATCCATGTCCCTGCAAAGGACATGAACTCATCACTTTGTATGGCTGCATAGTATTCCATGGTGTATATGTGCCACATTTTCTTAATCCAGTCTATCATTGTTGGACATTTGGGTTGGTTCCAAGTCTTTGCTATTGTGAATAGTACTGCAATAAACATCTGTGTGCGTGTGTCTTTAGAGCAGCATGATTTATAATCCTTTGGGTATATACCCAGTAATGGGATGGCTGGGTCAAATGGTATTTCTAGTTCCAAATGCATGAGGAATGGCCACACTGACTTCCACAATGGTTGAACTAGTTTACAGTCCCACCAACAGTGTAAAAGTGTTCCTATTTCTCCATATCCTCTCCAGCACCTGTTGTTTCCTGACTTTTTAATGATTGCCATTCTAACTGGTGTGAGATGGTATCTCACTGTGGTTTTGATTTGCATTTCTCTGATGGCCAGTGATGATGAGCAGTTTCTCATGTGTCTCTTGGCTGCATAAATGTCTTCTTTTGAGAAGTGTCTCTTCATATCCTTCGCCTACTTTTTGACGGGGTTGTTTGTTTTTTTCTTGTAAATTTGTTTGAGTTCATTGTAGATTCTGGATATTAGCCCTTTGTCAGATGAGCAGGTTGCAAAAACTTTCTCCCATTCTGTAGGTTGCCTGTTCACTCTGATGGTGGTTTCTTTTGCTGTGCAGAAGCTCTTTAGTTTAATTAGATCGCATTTGTCAATTCTGGCTTTTGTTGCCATTGCTTTTGGTGTTTTAGACATGAAGTCCTTGCCCATGCCTATGTCCTGAATGGTATTGCCTAGGTTTTCTTCTAGGGTTTTTATGGTTTCAGGTCTAACATTTAAGTCTTTAATCCATCTTGAATTAATTTTTGTATAAGGTATAAGGAAGGGATCCAGCTTCAGCTTTCTACATATGGCTAGCCAGTTTTCCCAGCACCATTTATTAAATAGGGAATCCTTTCCCCATTGCTTGTTTTTCTCAGGTTTGCCAAAGATCAGATGGTTGTAGATATGTGGCATTATGTCTGAGTGCTCTGTTCTGTTCCATTGGTCTATATTTCTGTTTTAGTACCAGTACCATGCTGTTTTGGTTACTGTAGCCTTGTAGTATAGTTTGAAGTCAGGTAGTGTGATGCCTCTGGCTTTGTTCTTTTGGCTTAGGATTGACTTGGCAATGTGGGCTCTTTTTTGGTTCTGTAGTTTTTTCCAATTCTGTGAAGAAAGTTATTGGTAGCTTGATGGGGATGGCATTGAATCTATAAATTACCTTGGACAGTATGGCCATTTTCACGATACTGATTCTTCCTACCCATGAGCATGGAATGTTCTTCCATTTGTTTGTATCCTCTTTTATTTCATTGAGCAGTGGTTTGCAGTTCTCCTTGAAGAGGTCCTTCACATCCCTTGTAAGTTGGATTCCTAGGTATTTTATTCTCTTTGAAGCAATTGTGAATGGGAGTTTACTCATGATTTGGCTCTCTGTTTGTCTGTTATTGGTGTATAGGAATGCTTGATTTCTGCACATTGATTTTGTATCCTGAGACTTTGCTGAAGTTGCTTATCAGCTTAAGGAGATTTTGGGCTGAGACGATGGAGTTTTCTAAATATACAATCATGTCATCTGCAAACAGGGACAATTTGACTTCCTCTTTTCCTAATTGAATACCCTTTATTTCCTTCTCCTGCCTGATTGCCCTGGCCAGAACTTCCAGCACTATGTTGAATAGGAGTGGTGAGAGAGGGTATCCCTGTCTTGTGCCAGTTTTCAAAGGGAATGCTTCCAGTTTTTGTCCATTCAGTGTGATATTGGCTGTGGGTTTGTCACAGATAGCTCTTATTATTTTGAGATACATCCCATGAATACCTAATTTATTGAGAGTTTTTAGCATGAAGCGTTGTTGAATTTTGTCAAAGGCCTTTTCTGCATCTATTGAGATAATCATATGGTTCTTGTCTTTGGTTCTGTTTATATGCGGGATTATGTTTATTGATTTGCATATGTTGAACCAGCCGTGCATCCCAGGGATGAAGTCCACTTGATCATGGTGGATAAGCTTTTTGATGTGCTGCTGGATTTGGTTTGCCAGTATTTTATTGAGGATTTTTGCATCGATGTTCATCAAGGATATTGGTCTAAAATTCTCTTTTTTTGTTATGTCTCTGACAGGCTTTGATATCAGGATGATGCTGGCCTCATAAAATGAGTTAGGGAGGATTCCCTCTTTTTCTATTGATTGGAATAGTTTCAGAAGGAATGGTACCAGCTCCTCCTTGCACCTCTGGTAGAATTCGGCTGTGAATCCATCTGGTCCTGGACTTTTTTTGGTTGGTAAGCTATTAATTATTGCCTCAATTTCCGAGCCTGTTATTGGTCTATTCAGAGATTCAAGTTCTTCCTGGTTTTGTCTTGGGAGGGTGTATGTGTCGAGGAATTTATCCATTTCTTCTAGATTTTCTAGTTTATTTGCATAGAGGTGTTTAAGGTATTCTCTGATGGTAGAACTCATTTATATCCTAATAGGAAAGAGTGTGCTCTTAAGGCATTTACAGGTTTTCTCCCTTCTTAACAAATACAAATAAGATATCTCACTCTATTTATAGAACTTTTTAAATCATCTTTTTAGTTATTTATTAAAAAAGATAATCATATGAAAAAGGAACTTAAAAAAATATCTTGCTGCAGGGTAGGAGCAAAGTCCAGAAGAGAGCATTTTTCTCTTGTTATTCTTTGGGCTATTATCTATACAATGTAACATGAAATCAGAGAATTCTCACCTTTTTTACATATGTTCAAGCTAAATTTTATCACTTTTCTTACCTGTATGGAAGTAATAGAAGCTGAATGGCCCTGAAGGACTGCAACGGGTGCACAAGTTCGAAGACACCATACTCTTACTACCTTATCACAGCTGCCTGCAGCAATAAGAGTGTTTTCATAGTTAACAGCCATGTCAGAAATTTCAGCAGAGTGTCCACGAAGTGTAGCAAGAAGGCGTCCATCATCTGTAGCCCAAATTTTTACTAAACAGTCATCTGAACCCTATAGTAACAAAAGGACAATAGGTTTATAATGAAGCAGAAATTCACAATACCCCCACCCAAAAAATAGCCAAAAAGAAGATTTTATTAAATTACTTCTAAGCCTTTACTTTCTAGTCTCCTCTCTACATATAATAGGGATCCAGTAGCAAGTATAAATGATGTCCAAATGATAGCAATAACAAAGCATTGTCCAAAGTGACAATGGCATTTGTGAAGAACTTTTCAAAATTACCACCAATACTGACAATGCAAAATATTTTAAACTCACTTTTTAGTGATTTGGCATTAAGTATTTTTACCATCATTTCTTTCTTTAGGCTTGACAGCCTTTTTTCTAAATTATTTAAATATTTTTTCCACAAATTATTCAGAATTTAACCTAAAGTCTACATGCATTTCTCAGTAAACATGAGGCTACCCGTTAATGATAATTTCTGGTAAAAATATATTAAACTTCCTTTTGAGAATTTCAGAAGAGTGAACAGTAAAAAGCAATTCTACTCTACTATGGTAGAAAAGTTACTTAACAATTATCTATTTATTAAAACATAGCATTCATCATCCTCATCATGATCACTAACATCCAAATACTTATGTGACGCATTTAGAGCCATTAAGTCATTAATGGAAGAGTCCAAAATAAACTCTAAGGTGTAATAACTTCCCGAATAACTTCCACTTCATTCGTTGTAGCATACAAATATAAAAATAAAATTATGCTATTATCCACACTTCTATGTTAATACTAAAGCAATGAGATTAAGCTTTCTTTTGGAAATACTGGTGTACTACAATTTTGTACTCAAAAGCATACAGTATTATCTGCTTAATAAAAATTCAGCTTAAAAAATAACCAGTACTGAAACCAAAAAAAAGATATAAAAAATAGCTATAATCTTCATCACAGTGTAGTTCAACTATCTAATCAAAAAAAGTGATGAAATCATTATTTAGGGAAAACTGGCAGCAATTACACTGAGTGACACATTAACAAACATTTAATAAATGTTTGTTAAAACTGAATGAAATGAAATTGAGTACACTTGTTTCACATAAATTAACCACTTCTAGAATATAAGGTCTTCTGAAGATTTAACTTTTTAAAATTAAACTTCCAAGAAGATAGTAAACATTTTTGTTCATTCGTTTACTTATATAAAATGAGAAACTTTTTTCAATTTCCACTCATCTTTTTCTGCACCCATATATCCAAAAAAAGTGAACTGCTTACAAAGCACAATGCAATGCCATGCAGTCTGGCTTCAATTGTTGTAATTCTATATATGTTACCATATTATAAATTTTACACTCACTGTAAAAATTCTTCTCCCGCTTCGGTCAAATGCTACACAGTAGACAGATGACAAGTGCCCCAGAATTCTCTTATGCATCTTAATGTGCTGGTAAGCAGATGAAGGGAAAATATGACCAAAGCGACTACAGCCGGTTAATTGCCTGGCAGAGGTGATATTCACTGAAAAAAATACGAAATTAACTTAAAACTTAAAAGTGAAACTGATTTCATGAAATTAAGTCATAAATATTAAGATGAGACAAAACAGAGTACATATATTATAGCAATTCTGCCCTGTGAGAAGTCTAAATTCCCTTACATAGTTCATGATTTTATGAACTCCAGTTTACTACAAGAAAGCACCAAGAATACTCTTCCATTAAATCCCAAGGGACTGATATTCTGCTTGGCTTACTGTGGTTTCTCAAGCACATTCTCCTTTTGCCTTTCTTGGTACGCTATAGTCAAAGAGACTGTCATTTTAAATATATAGGTAAATCTTTCTATAACATGAAGAAATTTTAGAATAAAACTGTACTTGGTTAAGTATATTCCTCTAAAAAATTATACAGGAATTTCATAAATTATTGTCCTACCTCCTCACACCTATCCACCATATGTATGACTGCCCCTAAAAATTCAAGAGTAATACAAGTAAAAAAAAACTATACAGTGAAAAGATAAGGAAATCTATGATGTTACAAATATTTTATGTTACAAACAACCTAGGTTTGTCTATGGGTTCTTTCCTTTTGGTTTCTGAATTTAGAGGCTCTCCCTGTAGTTAACAATGAACTTTAAAGGCTTCATCTCCTATGAAGTCATTTTAAGTCCTATCTCATTTTTTTTTCTTGTTCGCTTTGCCTTGTTCTGCATTTTCTTAAAAAAAAAGCCATAACATAGCATAAGTCTACACAATTCTTCTCCAAATACCACGTGGATTCTGCTCATGCTAAAAAACAAATCTTGATCTCTATGTAAAAATTTACAGCCACCCACTTGCCCTGTGAAATCCTTCATCTTCCCTTATACACTAAAAGTGCTTAACACCCCACACAATGTATTTTAATCAAAACATAGGCTCCCTATAACTTCAAAGGTCACCTTGAGGCAAAGTGACATTTTACCATACTGCATAAATAATATAGTACAAAATGAAAATAGCTTCATGTTCAAGCAGGGCAAGATTAAAGCAAGAACTGAGTTCTAGCTAGATTAGTATGATTAGAACCATGCCACAATCAAAAATATGAAATCTTTCAACATCTCACAATTTTAAGAGCAATGAAGTCTTTCTTTCAGGCAAAGGCAGATCCACTGGCCATTTTAACTGACAAAATGACAAAAAATGAATAATGAATAGCAAAATCAGTGACATGTTGAATATAAACAATTAGAACACATAAGAGACCTGAGTAGTTATGTAATACTGCAAGATGCTGAGTAAATAATGGGAGGAACTGCATAAGCATCAGTATCAGGCAAGAGGATTTCTTTTTGGCAGGTGTTCCCATCTCAACCACAAGAAAATCCCATGACTCCAAGATAGGAAGGACTGGTACCCTAATTTGGGACTTCAGAAATCTTCCTTCTCCAGTGAAACATTTCTTACTGCTCTGAGTTCCTTAAAACAATCAACCATTACTTCTGCTTGGCTTTTGTCTCTTCATACTTTGCAGGTAGATGCAGGGGAGAAAGGTTACTTTAAGGCAGGGCTTCTCAACCTTTAAACTATTGATATTCTCCGTTGAATGATTCTTTGCTGTGGGGACTTTCCATTGCAGGGTGTTTTGCAGCATCCCTCACCTGTCCCCACTACATGCTAGTAGGATCCCCCCCACACTAAGTCGTGACAAACAAAAATATCTCTAGATGTTGTCTAGGGTAAGAAACTGCCCCAGATTAAAATCACTGCTTGCAGTATAAAAGCAAAAAACATCATTACCAATAGAAGGGGAAAAAAAAAACAAAACAGAAAAGCAATTTTGAGAAGGGGAGCTGCAGGAGATAGAAAGCAAATCCATGAACATGGGATATCTTTCCATTTATTTGAATCTTCAATTTCTTTCATCAATGTTTTATAGTTTTCACTATACAGCTCTTTCACCTATACTTAAATTTACTCCAAAGTACTTTCTTAGATTCTATCGTAAATGGAATTGTTTCACTGAGTTCTTTGGATAGTTCATTGTTAGAGTATAGAAACAATGTAGATTGTCAAGTTCATTTTGTAATCTGCAACATTACTCAATTTGTATATCAGTTATAAGAGGGTTCTTTTGGTGGATTTTTAGGGTTTTCTACATATAAGATCATGTCATCAGAAAACAGAAAATTTCACTCCTTCTTTTACTATATGGATGCATTTTGTTTCTTTCATTTTCATTTGTTTCTTTCATTTTCTGGCCTAAATGCACTGGCTCAGACTTCCTGTGCTACATTGAATATAAGTGGCGAGAATGGGCATCTTTTTATTAGAGATGGAGTTTCAACATGTTAGTCACGCTGGTCTTGAACTCCTGACCTCAGATGATTCGCCCACCTCAGCCTCCCAAAGTGCTGGTGTTACAGGCATGAGCCACCATGCCCAGCCGAGATACATTCCTTCTATACCTCTTATGTTGAGATTTTATCATGAATACATGTTGAATTTTGTCAAATACTATTTCTGCATCTATTGAAATGATCACACAGGTTTGGTGATCTGCCCACCTCGGCCTCCCAAAGTGCTGGGATTACAGGCATGAGCCACTGCACCCAGCCTTTTGCATCTATTCTCAAAAGGGATATTGGCCTTTAGTTTCCCTGTATTAACACTGCCTGAATTTGGTATCAGGGTAATGCTCACCTCATAAAATGAATTTGAAAGTATTCTCTCCTCTTCAATTTTTTGGAAGAGTTTGAAAAACATTAGTGTAAGTTCTGCTTTAAATGTTTGGTAGAATTCAACAGAAAAGCCATTTGGTCCTAAGCTTTTATTTGATGGAAGACTTTTTATTACCGACTCAATCTCATTACTTGTTATTTGTCTGTTCAGTTTCCACTTTCATCTCTGATTCTGAGTCTTTTCTTTTGTTTTTTTTCCTAAGTCTACCTAAAAATTTGTCAATATTGTTTACCTTTTTAACAAACCAACTTTAAGATTTGTTAATCTTTTCTGCTGTTTTTCAAGTCTCTATCTTGTCTATTTCTGCTCCAATCTTCCTTATTCCTTCCTTCTGCTAAGGTTGGGCATACTTTGTTCATCTTTTTCTAGTTCCTTGAGGTTCAATGTTAATATTTTCTCTTTTTTAATGTTTATTGCTATAAACTTACCTCTCCGGGCTGTTTTTGCTGCATCCCATAAGTTTTGGTAGGTTGTGTTTCCATTTTCATTTGCCTCAGTTTCCCTTTTAATTTATTCTTTGACTCATGGTTTTTCAAAAGTATGTTGCTTAATTTGCATACATCTGTGAGCCTTCCAAGATTACTCCTGTTATTTTTAGTCTCATGCCATTGTAATTAGAAAAGATGCTTAATATTATTTCAATCTTCTTAAATTTGTTAAGACTTGCTTTGTGTCCTAAAATACGATCTATCCTGGAGAATACTCCACATGTACTTGAGCTGAAATGTTCTATAAATGTCTATTAGGACCAATTAGTCTGAAATGTGGTTTAAGTACAATGTTTCCTTATTGATTTTCTGTCTACATAATCTGTCCGATGTTGAAAGTGAGGTATTGATGTCTCCTATTATTGTATTGCAGTTGCAGTGTCTCTCTCTCTCTTCCTCCCTCCCTCCCTTCAGTTTTTATTATATATGCCTTGTATATTTAGGTGCTCCAATGTTGGGTGCATATATATTTACAACTGCCAAACTTCTTGATGAACTAACATCTCTATCATTACATATGACGTTTTTTGTCACTATTCACTTTTTAAATTCTCTTATATCTGATATAAAGAAAACTACTCCTGTTCTCTTTTGGATTCCATTTGTATGGAACATATTTTCCATCTCTCCATTTTCAGTCTATGGGTGTCCTTAGAGATGATGAGTCTCCTGTAGGCAGCATATTATTGGGTCATGGTTTTTCATCCATTCAGCAGCTCAATGTCAAAAATGTCCATTCTACCCAACAACATTTACAGATCTAATGCAATCTCTATGAAAATTTCAATGACATTTTTCACATAAATAGAAAAAAAATCCTAAAATTCAAGTGAAACCAGAAAAGACCCCAAACAGCTAAAACACTCTTATGCAAAAACAATGAAGCTAGAGGCATCATGCTCCCTGATTTTAAAATGTATGATAAAGCTTATTTAATAGAAACAGCATGATACTGACGTAGAAACAGACACATCAACCAAGGGAACAGGATATAAAGTCCAGAAATTCACCCAAGCATTTAAAATAAAACAATATTCAACATAGATTCCAAGAACACACAATGGGGAAAGGACAGTTTCTTCAATAAGTGGTGCTGGGAAACTGGATATCTACATGCAAAAGAATGAAATTGAACCCTATTCTCCTAACATGTACAAAAACCAACTCAAAATGAATCAAAGATTTAAACAGAAGATATCAAACAGTAAGGTTCCTAGAAGAAAACATAAGGGAAAAGCTTCAGAACATTGTTCTAGCCAATGATTTCTTGGGTAGGACTCCAAACACAGGCAACAAAATCACAAATAGACAAATGGGATAGTATCAAACTAAAAAGCTTCTGTACAGCAAAGGAAATGATTAGCAGACAGATGATACAACTCACAGATTGGGAGAAAATACCTGCATACCATCTATCTGATAAGGGGTTAATATCTAAAATATATAAGAAACTCAATAGCAAAAAAAAAATGTAATTAAAAATGGGCAAAAGGTCTGAACAAACATTTCTCAAAAGACGACATACAAATGGCCAATGGATATACGAAAAAATGCTCAACATCTCCAGTCATCAGGGACATGCAAATTAAAGGAACAATGATATATCACTTCACACCTGTTAGAATGGGTATTATAAAAAAGACAAATACTAATCTGTGTTGGTAAGGACATAGAGAAAAGGAAAAGTCTTGCATACTGTTGGCAGCAATGTAAATTGAAACATTTTGGAAAATAGTATGGAGGTTCCTCAAGAAATTGAAAATGGAAATACCATATGATCCAGTAATCCTACTTCTGGATATATATCCAAAGGGATTGAAATCAATGTCAAAGAGATGTCTGCACTCTCATGTTCGTTGCAGCATTAGTCACAATAGCCAAGATATGATTGCAATCTAAGTGTCCATCAGATGAATGAATCAATGTGTTTTATACACACACACACACACACACACACACACACACACACGCAAAAATCATTAAGTCTTATAAAGGAAAGAAATTGGAAATTATGCCATTCACAACAACTTGGATGAAATTAGAAGACATTATGCTAAGTGAAATAAGCCAAGCACAGAAAAACAAATACTGGTTGATATCATTTATGTAGAAGCTAAAAAAGTTGATTTCATAAAAACAGAGTAGAAAGGTAGTTACCACAGGATACAAGGAAAGGAGAGGGGTGAGGAAAGGGGAGATGCTGATCAAAGGGCACAAAGTTTCAGTTAGACTGGAGCAACAAGTTTTGAGATTTACTGTACTACATGGTGACCACAGTTAATAATAATAAAATGTGTATTTCAAAATTGCTAAAAGAATAGATTTGTAATGTTCTCACCACAAGAAAATGTTGGTGAGGTGATGGATATGCTAATTAGTTTGGTTTAATCTTTCTGTAATGTATACATAGATCAAAACATGACATTGTACGCCTTGAATATACAAAATTATTTGCCAATAAAAATGAATAAATGAATGAAACAAACAAAAAGAGAAGGACAGCAAGAGCCAGAGAAAGAGAGGGGAAAATAAATAACTACCAGAAAGAAAATCCACTCATTCATCTAACAAATATTTGAGTTCCTTAATGGCCAAAGAAACACAGCTAAGTACATAAGCAAAATACATTTTTTTAAAACTATTTTGTTACTCATACAAATTCATGGGCTATGTGTGCAATTTTGTTACATGCAAAGATTGCATAGTGGTCAAGGCAGGGTTTTCAGGGCATACAACACCCAAATATGATACACTGTACTCATTAAGTAATTTCTCAACATCCATTCCCCTCCCACAGCCTCACCCTTCTGAGTCTCCACTGTCTACCATTCCACTCTCTACATCCAGATGTCCACATTTTGTAGCACCCACTTATGAGTTCATGAGAAAATGTGATATTTGACTTTCTGTACCTGGCTTGTTTTACTTAAGATAATGACCTCCAGTTCCATCCGTATTGCTGCAAATAACATGACTTCATTTTTTTTATGGCTGAATAGTACTTGATTATGTATATATAGCACATTTTCCTTTATTTTTTCAATTTATTCATATTTCATTATTATTATTATTATTATTATTATTATTATTATTATTATTATTATTTTAAACACGATCTTGCTTTGTCGCCCAGGCTGGAATGCAGTGGCACTATCACAGCTCACTGCAGCCAAGACCTCCTGGGCTCAACTGATCCTCCCACCTCAGCCTCCTGAGTTGCTGGGACCACAGGTGTGTGCCACCATGCCCAGCTAATCTTTTGCTGTTGTTTTAGAGATGGGGTCTCTCTATGTTGCCCAGGCTGGTCTTGAATTCCTGGGCTCAAGTGATCCTTTCACGTTGGCCTTCCAAAGCATTTTCTTTATCCATTCATCCACTGATGGACACTTAAGTTGATTTCATATCTTTGCTATTGTGAATAGTGCCATTATAAACATACTAGTGCAAGTATCTTTTTGATATAATGATTTATTTTCCTCTGGGGTATATACCCAGTAATGGGTTTGCTGGATTGAATGGACATTCTATTTTTAGTTCTTTGAGAAATCTCCATACTATTTACCACAGAGGCTGTACTTATTTATAATCCTACCAACAGTGTGTTAAGAGTTCTTTTCTGCACAGCCTCACCAAAATGTTTTTTTAAAATATATATTTTTATTAATAGCCAATCTGACAGAGGTAAGATATTTCATTGTGGTTTTAATTTAAATTTCTGTGATAATTAGTGATGTTGAGCATTTTTTCTTTTTCTTTCTTTCTTGAGATGAAGTCTTGCTCTGTCACCCAGGCTGAAGTGCAGTGGCACCATATCAGCTCACTGCAACCTCCACCTCCCAGGTTCAGGCTCCTGCCTTAGCCTCCTGAGTAGCTGGGATTACAGGTGCCCGCCACCACACCCAGCTAATTTTTGTATTTTTAGTAGAGACAGGGTTTTGTCATATTGGCCAGGCTGGTCTCAAACTCCTGACCTCAGGTGATCCACCAGCCTCAGCCTCCCAAAGTGCTGGGACTATAGGCGTGAACCACCACGCCTGGCCGATCATTTTTTTGTATACCTGTTGGCCATTTGCACGTCTTCTTTTGAAAAATACCTATTTATGTCTTTAACCACTTGTTAATGGGATTGTTTCTGAGTTTTGTTGTTGAGTTGAGTTCCTTGTATATTTTGGTTATTAGTCCCCTATCAGATGGATAATTTGCAATTATTTTCTCCAATTCTACACATTCTACAGATTGTCTCTTCACTCTGCTGGTGCTTCTTTTGTTGTGCATAAGCTTTTTAGTACTTTAGGACTTCAGTAAGTCCCATTTGTCTATTTTTGTTATTGTTGCCTGTGCTTTTCAGTTTTTTTTTTTTTTTTTAGATGGAGTTTCACTCGTCACCCAGGCTGGAGTGCAGTGGTGTGATCTCGGCTCACTGCAACCTCTACCTCCCAGGTTCAAGCAATCCTCCTGCCTCAGCCTCCTGAGTAGCTGGGATTACAGGCGGCTGCCACCACGTCTAGCTAATTTTTTGTATTTTAAGTAGAGACAGGCTTTTGCCATGTTGGGCAGGCTGGTCTTGAACTCCTGACCTCAGGTGATCTGCCCACCTCAACCTCCCAAAGTGCTGGGATAACAGACATGAGCCACCACACCCAGCCTTGAGGTCTTACTCATAAATTTTTTGCCTAGACCAATGTCCAAAAGAGTTTTTGCTGTTTTCCCCTATTATTTTTATAGTTGTGGGTATTACATTTAAGTTTTTAATTCATCTTGAGTTGATTTTTTATATGGTTAGAGATACGGGTCCAGTTTTATTCTGCTGCATATGAACATTCATTTATCCCAGCACTGTTTATAGTAGAGGGTGTCCTTTTCCCAATGCATGTTCTTGTCAGCTTTGTCAAAGATCAGTTGGCTATAAATATGTAGATTTATTTCTGGGTTTTCTATTCTGTTCCTTTGGTCTGTTTGTCTATTTTTATACCCGTACAATGCTGTTTTGGTTACTAGAACCTTGCAATGTAATTTACATCAGGTAACATGATGTCTCCAGCTTTGTTCTTTTTGCTCAGGACTACTGTGGCTATCTGCACTCTTTTTGGTTCCATATGAATTTTAGGATTATTTTTTATTTCTGTGAAAATGATATTGGTATTTTCATGGAGATTACACTGAATCTGTAGGTTGCTTTCAGCAGTATGATCATTTTAACAATATTGTTTTTTACAGTCCATGAGCACAGGCTATTTTTCTACTTGTTTGTGTCATCTACAATTTCCTAAGTGTTCTGTAGTTTTCTATGTAGAGATCTTTCACCTCCTTGGTTAAATATATTCCTAGATTTTGGGGGTTTTTTTGTAGCTATTATTGGCTTCTTGATTTTATCTTAGCTTGCTCACTTTTGGTGTACAGAAATGCTACTAATTTTTGTACTTTGATTTTGTAACCTGAAACTTTACTGAATTCATTTATCAAAAATCTAGGAGTCCTTTGGAGGAGTCTTTAGAATTTTCTAGGTATAAGACCATATCATCAGCAAACAGAGATAATTTGACTTCCTCTTTTCCAATTTGGATGCCTTTTATTTCTTCTCTCATCTGACCACTCTCGCTAGGATTTCCATTACTATGTTGAATAGGAGTGAAAGCAGGCACTCTCTTGTCTTGCTCCAGTTCTTAGAAGAAATGTTTTCAGCTTTCCCTCATTCAATATGACACTAGCTGTAGGTTTATCATACATGCCCTTTATTATTTTGAGATATGTTCCTTCTATGCCCAATTTGTTGAGGATTTTTACCAAAAAGGAATGCTGAAGCCGGGCATGGTGGCTCACGCCTATTATCCCAGCACTTTGAGAGGCTGAGGCAGGCAGATCACTTGAGGTCAGGAGTTTGAGACCAGCCTGGCCAACATGGTGAAACCCCATCTCTACTAAAATAACAAAAAATTAGCCAGATGTGGTGGTATGCACCTGTAATCCCAGCTACTCAGGAGGCTGAGGCCAGAGAATCTCTTGAACCCAGAAGGCGGAGGTTGCAGTAAGCCGAGATGGCGCCACTGGACTCCAGCCTGGGCAACAGAGCGAAACTCCGTCTCAAATTAAAAAAAAAAGGAATACTGAATTTTAAGAAATGCTTTTTCTGCCATCTACTGAGATGATTATGGTTTCTTCCTTGATTCTGTTTATGTGATGTATTTCATTTACAGATTTGTAAATGTTGAACCATCTTTGCATCTCTGGTATATTATCTTTTAGCTGTGCTGTTAGTTTACTTTTAAAAACCGCTTTACAAAAAAAAAGTAAAAATTGAAAAAAGTGAAAATATTTACAAGATGGAAAAATCTTAATATTTTAAAATACATATAAAACTAATGAGCTATAAGAACACCATCAACACCCAAAAGATGATTTGGTAAAAAAAAGTTAACAGATAAGGTGCAATATAGGAAATATAAATAATATGCTGACTCACAGAAAAGATACAACTATTTTGCCAGTTATCAAAGAAATTTAAATGAAAATGAGGCATAAATTTACACCTAATAAATTAGCATTTCTAAAAATTCAAAAACCTAATGTTAGCTATTACTACTTGAAACTGATATACACCTCTATTTCTAAAAGCACCATACAGTGAGATGATCCCTTAGGAAAATAACTTGGCAATATACTTGAAGAGCCATGAAAACATGCACATCTATTACTCCACCTCTGGGCATCTATCCTGGGGACATAACTGATTAGCAAAAAACAGTTACATATATAAAATATTTAAAGTAGTACTATTTATAAAGCCAGTGAATTAAAAACAACCTACAAGTCCAGTATCAAGGGAATGGTTACGTATTAAATTATGGAATATTTGATAGACTATTACATAGCAATCAATAATATAAAAAGCAATGTGAAAAAAATTAGGGGTTACACAGCAAAAATGTAAAATACAAAATTATGTGTACACTATCAACTATGTAAATTTATGCACAAATGTATGGATAAGGACCATAAAGAAACAAGAGAAATGAAGCCAACTGCTTTGTGTTAAAAGAATGAGGAAATTTTTAAAATTTCACTTAATACTTTTCAAAATACATTTTTATCTTAAACATACATTTTCTATTAGGTTCTTCCCAATAGTCACTAATACCTATTCAAGAAAAATCTAACATAAGGTATGACATATATCATTAAATGTTCCTTCTCCCAGTTCAGCGGTTTATTTATTTATTCATCTGGCACTGGAAATGATATCTATATATTTTTTCTCAGTGATTGTTAATATAAACAAGTCTTAGTCTCTATACATTAAGAAATAACGTCGGCTCATGCCTGTAATCCCAGCACTTTGGGAGGGTGAGGTGGGCAGATCACCTGAGGTCAGGAGTTCAAGACCAGCCTGATCAACATGGAGAAACCCCGTCTCTACTAAAAATACAAAAATTAGCTGGGCCTGGTGGTGCATGCCTGTAATCCCAGCTACTCTGGAGGCTGAGGCAGGAGAATTGCTTGAACCCGGGAGGTGGAGGTAGCAGTGAGCCGAGATCGCACCATTGTACGCCAGCCTGGGCAACAAGAGCGAAACTCTGTCTCAAAAAAAAAAAAAAAAAAAAAAAGAAACAATGTCAACACTCTCTTTTGCATGTATTCTCCATTTAGCCATTATTTTTTAGTACTGATTCTTGCTTTACTTACTACAGTAGCCTTTATTAGGAACATGTTCCCCAAATGTTAATGGTTGATAATTGATTATACAGATACAATTGAAAAGTGTTCACTTCTGACCAATTCATGAGTATTTTACTGGGAAGAACTGGATCTCATTCTTCTAGCATGAATATCACACACTTCCTTGGGGGGAGGAGAATGCTCCAAACCATTTTTCCTTTTCTCTAAAGTAACAGTTTAAAAAATGAACACACACATACACACTTGCACACATACACAAACATGCACAAGGCTATCACTGTGTTCTATCTAAATGTCTCTATCAAATGCCACTGAGTGAACTGGTTTCTTTTTACTTTTATTATAAGCATGATGCAAGTCTAGAGATGAGCAATTTAACTTCCCCTGTAAGTAGAATGAAGTATTAAATGTAAGAAACAACTACAAATAAATGATCAAAAAACCCCATACTCCTAGCCTGATGTATTCACTATAATGGCATCATTACATTCTCACTGTTAAACTTCAAAATCTATACTTCAAGGTTATGTAATAAGTTTTAGTATATATAATTAGTTACTTTGATTAGTAACTTAATTATTTCAAAAGCACCCTAAAAGTTAAGTAACATTATCCCAGGCTCTATTTACTAAAAAATTTAACTCCACTATGTCACAAAAGTAAAATGGCAATACACTTCTAAAAACTCATTAAAACAGGGCAATCAATCAACATAATTTTAGCCAGGAAAACAATGTGTGCTTCTTCACCCACTGTTGTTAAGAATTTGCAACTTATAAAAAACAATACTTATGACTCCTTTATATTTTGAAAGCTGAGATTACAGTCAGTTTCCAACCATCAACTAACTATAGTTTTTTCTTGAATGGTAACATAAACATGTAAATTGTCTTAAAATATTTGAAGAACTTTCCTTTTGAGAAAAACAATTCTTTAGCAATGTTGAATAATTCACTAGTAGATAAATTAGTCAAATATAGATTTGAATACAATGTATTTGAATACAAAATATTCTATTCAGAATCCATTGTCTCTTAGATATTTGTATTTAAAATTCCATACTATAAGCTTCTAAATTGTTCTCTAACAAAAGACAAAATGAACTAACTCAATGATAGACCGTACTTCTTAAATATTCAAATAATGACAGGATAATAGATTTACTGTATATATTTTACAAATTTATAAAGTCATAAGATCAATAAACAGCCATCAATGGACTTAGCTGCTTTCTTTAAAGCATAACATTGGTTTACCTCTTACTAGAAGCTAAAGCACTGTGATAGATCCTGGAGATACTGATTATAAACAAGTCAAATAGGCTGGGCGCGGTGGCTCACGCCTGTAATCCCAGCACTTTGGGAGGCCAAGGGAGTGGATCACCTGAGGTAGGGAGTTCGAGACCAGCCTGACCAACACGGTGAAACCCCGTCTCTACTAAAAATACAAAGTTAGCCAGGCGTGATGGCGCATGACTGTAATCCCAGTTACTCGGGAGGCTGAGGCAGGAGAATTGCTTGAACCTGGGAGGCGGAGGTTGTGGTGAGCCAAGATCGCGCCATTGCACTCCAGTCAGGGCAACAAGAGCGAAACTCCATCTCAAAAAAAATAAAAAATAAAAAATAAAAAAGTCAAACGAGGTCTCTGTCCTCGTGGAATTTACATTCTACTCTGCAAAGCTTGTATCACTTATCCAATTTCAGGAATGAGTAAAATACTTCACTGGGGAAAAAGTGATCTACAAAAATATATACAACTCTTAAAATGTTTTTCTAACAAGCTCTGCAGTGATGGTGATACTCTGCCAAGTTTGGGAGCCATCAATTCTAGTCCAAACTACCTCCTCACAAAATTATCCTTTCTATAACCTAAATGGCAGATGGCCATTCCGACCTCTGCCTAAACACTAGTAAAGATAAGGTTTTTCTTTTCCAGGAATGGCCAATTCATATGTACAGCTGCTCTAATTAGGGGAGACTCTACCTTTAATTGAACTTTATCTCTCTCTGTGTAATTTCCAGAGAGTTATCCAGGTTCTACCCTTGGGAACGACATTAAAAAAAGAATATAATATGGTGGTGCCTGTAGTCTCAGCTACTCAGAGGCTGAGGCAGAAGGATGTGCTATGATCTGTGTGGGAATAGCCACTGCACTCCATCCTGGGCAATATAGCGAGATCCCATCTTTAAAAAATAAACTAAAAAGAAAAAAGTCAATTCCCTTTATTACATGGTAATCCATGAAATAAAGATAGCTATCATTTGTACCTTAAGTTTTCTTTTGACATGTTAAGTCCTTCTACATTACTCACAGCTGTAATTTATAGATACTTCTCTTTCCTAATATCCCCTCAAGAAAAACACTCCTTCACCATAAATATTATTGTGGTTACTTTCTTCTGGGAGGTCTCTAGTTTATCAATGTCTGAGCCTTTTAAAATAGTAAGAGCACAATGTTCCAGTGGTCTTATCAGCACAGAGTACAGTGTATTATTTTCCTTCATCAGGAAACTACACTTCTACGAATGAAGGTTAAGATTGCAAAGACTACATTAGGTTTCTTAAAATGCTGCCTTATAGTATCTAGTGCTCAGAAGAAAGAGAAAATAAAGTTAATTTGACTATCTTCTGAAAGTGCACAAACACCTGTTGAATAAACCTGTCTAAAATTTTGTCTGGGGTTAAAGCTGAGTTCACCATCTATAGTTTCTAGAATCTATTCTTTTTTCCTTTTTGTATATATTTGCCTACTGGGCCATTTCTGTTTCTCCTGTCTACTCTGGTTTCACAAAGAATATCTTCCAGTGAAAATTATTTCAGTATAACAGGCTTTAATTAATTTGGGCCTCTTAAAGCAAGTAGGTACTAATCTACCTTGCATTTTCTTTTCTCTAACTATGCTTGCTCTACCCTTTGCAGTTTATTTATCAGTGTCCTTGATAGAGAAAATTAAAGCAAAATATTATTCTCTCCAGCTCTTACGTTTTAGCTATGAATGTGATACCATTATTCCCATAAAATAAAATCTATGGGTTCTTTCCCCATATGCTAATTAGAACTTTAATGGTCCTTTCGGGCATTTCTATATGGGTCAAACAATATGAAATGGCTAATAATTGTTTTCTACATACAAAAGCAGTGATTTCATATGGCTCAACATGATAGCTATAATTGGAGTGTGGAGGGGAAGGGCAGTGTCGAGCATTAGTTTGATCTGGGTATCCTGCTTTTTTACCTATTAGGAAATCATCATCCATACTGTCTAGTCTGTAGTATAATCCCATATAGATTTCTCACTCCTTTTAACCCCATCCAGTGTTTTTCACATTTCACAGCCACATTTTGGTCTATAGATTCCTAAATGCACTTAACATGCACTGCTAATCCTCACCTTCCAATTAAATCTATTTGTTTAAGACCAAGAATAGCCACTCTTACTATATATTAAACACTAATCCTGCATCAAGTTTCTATAACTCTTCATGTTAAAGCTTCTAGTTTACTTTGTTACTTCATACCTAATATTTGTAAGTATTCTGCTGAACCCTTAATGTTTTCTCTTGTGAATTACTGACCACCTCCTTCTTTGTGGATTTCTTTTCTATTACACCTGCTATCCATCATATTTTTTTAAACTGGGTATTTTACCATTGACCATAATAAACAGCAAAATAAACTTATCTGGGCTTAATTTTCTGTGTTTTCTCAACATCAATTATAAGTGCTAATGAACAGTAACAGGGATAAAGTTATCCCATAAAAGCCTCCAATTATATCACGAACATAGCAAAGAATTAATTAAAACTGAATACAATTCAAATAAAGGTTCTCCTGAAATTGGTCAATTTTTTCTACTAATATCTTTAAATGCTAATGAATTACCTTTAGAAATTAAGAACACTGAATGGACTTTGAAAAAAGGCACAGGAAAATGCCATTTGAAGTGTATGATAGTCTAATGTGCACTGGAATATTATTCACATATTTAAATTGCTTTGCTTCAAAATTATTATATGAAATATTGTAACCCAAATTAACAAAGTTCAAACCAGACTGTGGTTTTCTTCATATAGTCTTCAATAATAGATTTGCTTTCCTTACTCTGTGACATCTTGAATCTATTATAAAGATGTGATTCTTTTCTTACTTTCTTTCTTCATTGTCCTACCCATTAGCAATGCAACCCATTATTTTAGAAAAAAATTACCAGTAATCTGCTAAAATATTAGTATTAGAAAAAAAGTGTTTTGGCCAGTGTGATACAAGATGTACTAATTTACTATCCTGACTTAAAAGCTTAGTACCAGAGTGTGGTAATTCCTACCTATAATCTCAGCTACTAGGGAGGCTGAGGTGGGAGGATCCCTTGAGCCCAGGAGTTGAAAGTTGCAGTGAACTATGATCTTGTCAGTGAACTCCAGCTTGGGTGACAGAGTGAGACTCTATCTCTTAAAACCTATTGGTTAGCTTAGTATTAGACCCTCAATATTAACTGGTGATAAACCAAAGAAAAAAAAGACTCAATAACAAAGATGCTTAATAACAATGAATCCAAATCAAGAAATTATTACAGAGTGGTTATACTAACGATACTTTATTAGTGCATCAACCTATTCCTTCCTGTAACAGTTCAAGATCAGTTTGTTCTCCTAAATCCAGTCAATCATATTGTCATCAAGGTCAGTAATAAGAAATAAAAGGATCACTGCAAATGCATAGCTTCTGCATAAAATACCTCAAAGCACATTACCTTCTATTATCTTCATGCATGAAAAATAGATTATTAGACCAAAATAAAAAGACCCACAAGAAGCCTATGCTGAAACACACTGAAGCAATTATATGACAGGCAAAGAAGTCAAAAATTGTTAAATACTGAGGAAAGGCAAAAAGTGGTAATCAGGTGTAAAGCAACTGTCATTTTATACTAAACTTAAGGTTTAATATTTTACATATTTAATCAGAAAAAATTTGAATTAGCAGGCAAAGATGCCAAAAATTGTTAGGTACTGAGGAAAGACAAAAAGTGATAATCAGGTGTAAAGCAGTTATCATTTTATACTAAACTTAAGGTTTAATATTTTACATATTTAATTAGAATAAATTTGAATTAGATTTCTTAGGTATTTAAGAGTCTTCCTTGTCTATTTGTCAATCTGTCAAAAAACGGTTCCATACTGAGATAAAATCAGTATTTTTTATGAAATCTATACTCCACATCACATCATTTCTTATTGGGACACAGATATCAATAGCAGAATCCAAATTTAAAGTGCATTAGAAAGGCCCATTTTTGTAGAAATCATAAGCATTTGACTCAACCACATGAAGACACATTTGCCCACAGGTACAATTAGAAACAATATTTCTACTCATTTACTATATCCTAATGAAATTTTCATCAGAATTTACATTTAAAATGTAACTGAGCTTTGTGTCCTTTAATTCTCAAGATAAAAAAATGCAAGAGACAAAAAAATACAGCTGACTTTGGCAATAAAAAGATGCAAACCTCAAAGATACAAACCAACTTTATAGTTAAGATTGAGGGGATAATCACCATTTCTGAGGCTCTCGGAAGTAGTTTACAAGCAAACATGTTTTGCCTTTCTCTCTTTGAACTAGAATCTCTTACAGAATTGTGCTAAACCTTGAATGGACGTTAAAGATAAATTCTTAATGCAACTTCTCATTTTACATATAACAAAACTAAGGACCATGTTGATGAAGCAAGTTTTCCTAAGTCCTAAAAGCGATAAGTGACAGAGAAGGGGCACGAACTTGGGTCAAATGTTCTTTTTCATATGCCACAGCTGCTGCTGAGTGCTTCATGTTTAAATATATCAGCAATGTTTATCTCCCACCAAATAAAAGATATTAATGGATCTAAAGCGGTGAACTCCTCCTCATTTTTCTGGGTGCCAAGTGCCTACTTAATAGCAGGAGATAAACCAAAAGGGTATGTGTTGGGGGGGTGGGGAAAGGAGAGGGATAAAGGCCATAATACAAAGCAATTTTGTGGGAAAATCAAAAGGCCAGATGAATAGCTCAATTAAGCACTGGCAGAGTCGCCTCTGGC
This sequence comes from Homo sapiens, assembly GCF_000001405.40. NCBI lineage: Eukaryota > Metazoa > Chordata > Mammalia > Primates > Hominidae > Homo > Homo sapiens. Next base: position 80,762,677 of record NC_000023.11, read on the forward strand.
TTTACCAATTCTCCTTACCTTGGTAGAATGATGTACTAAAAAGGCAATACAGTATTGAAAAAAGAACAAGTGGCCAAAGCTTCTTCCTTATCTATAAAATCTACAAAACAGGTTATATTCCCTATCTAAGAATTAAATGAGGTGAATTTTGTAGAATGTCTAGCACAGTAGGCATTTATTCATTAAAGCTTAGTTCCTTTCCCCTTTCCTTTCCTCTCTGGGGTCTCAGTAGTCTCACATTTCAGAATGGGGTAGGTTAGGAATACCACGCAAAAGTTTGGTATTAGCCTGGCGACTCTAAGGAATAGTGATCGCTACTATAAAGAAAATAAAATAAATGCAAAAATTTTACCTATACTTTGCTGCCCAGAGTCTATGATATATTTTTTAAATCCCCTTTTAAATTAAAGTTAATATTTAATGATTTTTATATGCCAGGCACTATTCTAAGCACATTACATGTTTACCTTATTTAACCCTATGAAGTGAGTACTATTATTATCTCCTTTTTAAATATGTAGAAATTGAAGCATAGAAGGGTTAACTCACTTTCCTAAGATCCTTAGCTATTAAGTGGTAGTCAAGATTCAAACCCAGGCAATCTTGTTTCAAAGGCTGATCTCTTTGCTATGGCTGCTTTTATAGCAGCTTTTCTTAAAATGAGAGAAAAATGAAAAAAATCATCATATACCCCAATAGCTAACTATGTTTCAGTGACTACAACAGATTTCATCCCATATCTTAAATTCTAGCTCAAACCTACCTAGAACATAAATCTGCCAAAGCAACAAAAGTGGGATAGAATAGGCCCTAAGAAGATGTTTAAAAACTACTAGAAATAAGAGATTAGTTCCAGCAAGATCACAAGAAACAAGAGCAATACACAAAACTCAATTGCATTTCTATATACTAAAAATGAACATTTAGAAACCAAAATTAAAAACAAAATCTATTTACGATCACGCCAAAGAAAATGATAACTTAAATATACATTTAACAGAATATGCACAGTATCTCTATCCTGGAAATTACAAAATGGTGAAGAAAAAAAATCAAAGACCACAATAAATGGAGAGACATACTATACTATGTTCATGGATTGGAAAGTTTGACAGAGTAACATGTCAATTCTCCCCAAATGATTTACAGGTTTAACACAATTCCTTTCAAAAGGCTTTTGTAGACATCAAGGAGCTTATTCTAAAATTCACAGGGAAAGACCCTAGAATATAGAAAACAATCTTTACAAAACTAAAGTGAGAGGGAGTCTTCTTCCCAATGTTAAGGCTTACTACATAGCTACAGAAATCAAAACAGCATGCTATTGGTGAGGAGATAAACACACAAATCAATGGAACAGAATAAAGGGCCAAAAAAATTTGCATAAATTTTCTTAACTGATTTTTAACAAAGGTGCAGCTCAATTTCAGTGGAGGAAGAACAGCCTTTTCAACAAATGGTGCTGAAGCAATTTGACATACAGAAGTGAAAGAATAATGAACGTTGACCTAAACCTTACACCTTACAGAATTAAACTCAAAATTAATCATAGAATTAAATTAAGGCATTAAACTATCAAACGTTTAGAAAAAAAGACATGGGAGAAAATCTTCAGAATATGGGGCTAGGCAAAGAATTTTTTTTTTAGAGACGGAGTCTCGCTCTGTTGCCCAGGCTAGAGTGCAGTGGCGCAACCTTGGCTCACTGCAAGCTCCGCCACCTGGGTTCAAGTGATTCTCCTGCCTCTGCCTCCCCAGTAGCTGGGACTACAGGCACCTGCCACCACGCCTGGATAATTTTTTTTTTTTTTGTATTTTTAGTATAGACGGTGTTTCACCATGTTAGCCAGGATGGTCTCGATCTCCTGACCTCGTGATCTGCCTGCCTCGGCCTCCCAAAGTGCTGGGATTACAGGTGTGAGCCACCGCGCCCAGCCTTAGGCAAAGAATTCTTAAACTTGACAACAAAAGCAAGATCCATAAAAGGGAAAATTGGTAAACAGGGTGTCATCAAATTTTTTAAATTTCAGACTTTGAAAGCCCATGTGAAAAGAATGAAAAGACAGACTAGGAGAAAATATTTGCAGAGAATATATCTGACAAAAAACTGGTATCTAGAATACATGAAAAACTCTTAAAGTTCAACAATGAAATTAAAAATAATCTAATTAAAAATGGGCAAAAGGCATAGACACTTCACCAAAAAGGATATACATATGGTAAATAAGCATACAAAAAGATGTTCAACATTAGTAGCTGTGATAGCTAATTTTATATATCAATTTGGGCCATCAGCATACAATATATGGTGCTATTTTTCCCACAGCCAGGATTCAAGGGTCTAGGAATTAAGTGGTAAAAACAGAGTGACATCACCCACTATTACTTAGTTGCCCCACTAGCAAAATTTTTGCTTCCTTTTCCAATAACCTTCTGCTCTGCTGGCCTAGAGGTCTTAGTTCCAAAAGGAGGAATGCTTCCACCAGGAGACACAACAATAATTCTATTAAACTGAAAGTTAAGACTGTTGCCCAGCCAATCACTTAAAGCAAGTATCCAATGCCTCTGAGTCAACAGGCAAAGAAGGCAGTTACCATATTGATTGACACTGACTACTGAGAGGAAACAGGACTGCTACTCCACAATAGAGGTAAGAAAGAGAATGTCTGAAATACAAGAGCTCCTTTAGAGCATCTCATAGTATTACCATGCCCTGTGATTAAGGTCAATACAAGGCTGGTGATTAACAACAATACAATCCAGGCAGAACTACTAATGGCCCAGACATTTCAGGAATGAAGGTTTGGGTCACTTTACTTTACTTTACTATTCTGGGTAGTAAAAGAGGGTAGTTATACATACCAACTACAACCATGTGACCAGTTATAGAACTGAGTACTGTAAGTGTTATGAAATATTATTCCTCCTTATTTTGTAATGAGGTGTCTGTGTGTGTATAAAACAGTTTCTTTGCTTTCCTTTATCATGTAAAATAAGATGTACTAACTTATATTTAATGTTAACTAAATATTATGTAATAATATGAATTGATGTTAATTTTACCTCATTGTATTTATGTTACAAGCTACAGAGAAAAGTAAACACCACTCAAGGACTTTCTTTTCTCTCCTGGGGAAGAGGTCTAATGTATTTCAGTTGTATGCAAACAGATATATCATGGCAAGTGAAATTATGACCTTGCAATTATCTTTATTTGGAGGATTATTTATTTATTTAAGTATTAAATACTTATTCCTCCAAATACAGATAATTTAAGGAAATGTGTATAGATGCCAAGTTGACAAAGGGTGAATTTGTGATAGTTTTAATGTGTCAACTAGACTGGGTCACAGAATGCCCAAACATTTGGCTAACCATTATTCTGGGTGTTTGGATGTGATTAACATTTGAATTGGTAGACAGAGTAAAGCAGATTGCCCTCCCCAATGAATCCGGTGGGCTTTATTCAATACCTTGGAGGTCTGAATAGAACAAAAGGCAGGTTAAGGGAGGATTCCCTCTCTCTGTCTATTTTCAAGCTGAGACATCTCTCTCTTCTGCACCTGGACTGGAACTTACACCATCAGCTTTAATGATTCTCAGGCTTTTGGACTTGGACAGGATCTTATACCACCAGCTTTCCTGGGTCTTCAGCTTGCAGATGGAAGATCATAGGACTTCTCAGCCTCCATAATCACATAAACGACTTCCTTATAATAAATACATCTATCAATCCTACTGATTCTGTTTCTCTGACGTACCCTGACTATACAGGAGCCAGCAAGGAAATGCAAATCAAAACCACAATGAGATATTTCACTACATATGCACAAGAAAAGCTAAAATAAAAAACTTTGACAACACCAAATGCAGGCAAGGATGCAGAGAAACTAGATCACTAATGCATGGCTAGTGGGAACATCAAATGCTACAGCCACTCTTAAAACACAAAACATGTGGATTCTGTTCCAAGATGGCCAAATAGGAACAGCTCCGGTCTGCAGCTCCCAGCGTGATCGATGCAGAAGATGGGTGATTTCTGCATTTCCAACAGAGGTAGCTGGTTCATTTCTTTGGCACTGGTTGGACAGTGGGTGCAGCCCTCGGAGGGCGAGTGGAAGCAGGGTGGGGCACTGCCTCACGCCGGAAGTGCAAGGGGTCAGGGGATTTCCCTTTCCTAGCCAACGGAAGCCTTGAGAGACAGCACCTGGAAAACTGGGACATTCGCACCCAAATACTGTGCTTTCCCAACGGTCTTAGCAAATGGCACACTAGGAGATTATAGCCCGCACCTGTCTCTGCGAATCCCAAGCCCACCAAGCCTTGCTTACTGGTAGCTCAGCAGTCTGAGATCGACCTGCAAGGCAGTGGCCTGGCAGGGGGAGAGGCATCCACCATTGTTGAGGCTTAAGTAGGTAAACAAAGCCACAGGAAGCTTGAACTGGGCGGAGCCCACCTCAGCTCAGCAAGAAACTTCTGCACAGGTAAACCTCCCTGTCTGACAGCTCTGAAGAGAGCAGTGGTTCTCCCAGCACGGCGTTTGAGCACAAAGAACCGACAAACTGCCTCCTCAAGAGGTTCCCTGACCCCTGTGTAGCCTAACTGGGAGACACTTCCCATTAGGGGCCAACAACACCTCATACAGCCCGGTGCCCCTCTGGGACAAAGCTTCTAGAAGAAGTATCAGGCAGCAATATTTTGCTGTTCTGCAGCCTCCACTGGTGATACCCAGGCAAACAGGGTCTGGAGTGGACCTCCAGCAAACACCAACAGACCTGCAGCTGAGGACCTAACTGTTAGAAGGAAAACTAACAAACAACAAGGAATAGCATCAACATCAACAAAAAGGACATCCACACCAAAACCCCATCTGTAGGTCACCAACATCAAACATCAAAGGTAGATAAAACCACCAAGATTTGGAAAAACCAGAGCAGAAAAGCTGAAAATTCTAAAAACCAGAGAGAAAATTATAAAAACCAGAGAGCCTCTTCTCCTCCAAAGGATTGCAGCTCCTCGCCAGCAACAGAACAAAGCTGGATGAAGAATGACTTTGACAAGCTGACAGAAGTAGGCTTCAGAAGGTCAGTAATAACAAACTTCTCTGAGCTAAAGGAGGATGTTCGAACCCATTGCAAGGAAGCTAAAAACTTTGAAAAAAGATTAAACGAATGGCTAACTGGAATAAACAGTGTAGAGAAAAACTTAAATGACCTGATGGAGCTGAAAACCATGGCATGAGAACTACGTGACGCATGCAGAAGCTTCAATAGCCGATTCGATCAATTGGAAGGAAGGGTGGTTATCAGTGACTGAAGATCAAATTAATGAAATAAAGCGAAAAGTTTAGAGAAAAAAAGAGTAAAAAGAAATGAACAAAGACTCCAAGAAATATGGAACTATGTGAAAAGACCAAATCTACGTCTGATTAGTGTACCTGAAAGTGACAGGGAGAATGGAATCAAGTTGGAAAACACTCTTCAGGATATTTTCCAGGAGAACTTCCCCAACCTAGCAAGGCAGGAGAGCATTCAAATTCAGGAAATAGAGAGACCACCACAAAGATACTCCTTGAGAAAATCAACCCCAAGACACATAATTGTCAGATTCCCCAAGGTTGAAAGGAAGGAAAAAATGTTAAGGGCAGAGAGAGAGAAAGGTCGAGTTACCCACAAAGAGAAGCCCATCAGATTAACAGCGGATCTCTCAGCAAAAACTCTACAAGCCAGAAGAGATTGGGGGCCAATATTCAACATTCTTAAAGAAAAGAATTTTCAACCCAGAATTTCATATCCAGCCAAACTAAGCTTCATAAGTGAAGGAGAAATAAAATACTTTACAGACAAGCAAACGCTGAGAGATTTTGTCACCACCAGTCCTGCCTTACAAGAGCTCCTGAAGGAAGCACTAAACATGGAAAGAAACAACCGGTACCAGCCACTGCAAAAACATACCAAATTGTAAAGACCATCAATGCTAGGAAGAAACTGCATCAACTAAAGGGCAAAATAACCAGCTAACATCATAATGACAGGATCAAATTCACATATAACAATATTAACCTTAAATGTAAATGGGCTAAATGCCCTAATTGAAAGACACAGACTGGCAAATTGTATAAAGAGTCAAGACCAATCAGTGTGATGTATTCAGGAGACCCAACTCAGGTGCAGAGACACACATAGGCTCAAAATAAAGGGAAGGAGGAAGATCTACCAAGCAAATGGAAAGCAAAAAAAAGAAAAAAAAAAGCAGGGGTTGCAGTCCTAGTCTCTGATAAAACAGACTTTAAATCAACAAAGATCAAAAGAAACAAAGAAGGACATTACATAATGGTAAAGGGATCAATTCAGCAAGAAGATCTAACTATCCTAAATATATATGCACCCAATACAGGAGCACCCAGATTCATAAAGCAAGTCCTTAGAGACCTACAAAGAGACTTACACTCCCATGCAATAAGAATGGCAGACTTTAACACCCCACTGTCAACATTAGACAGATCAATGAGACAGAAGGTTAACAAGGATATCCAGGAACTGAACTCAGCTCTGCAACAAGCAGACCTAATAGACATCTACAGAACTCTCCACCCCAAATCAACAGAATATACATTCTTCTCAGCACCACAACACACCTATTCCAAAATTGACCACATAGTTGGAAGTAAAGCACTCCTCAGCAAATGTAAAAGAACACAAATTATAACAAACTGTCTCTCAGACCACAGTGCAATCAAACTACAACTCAGGATTAAGAAACTCACTCAAAACCACAAAACTACATGGAAACTGAACAACCTGCTGCTCAATGACTACTGGGTAAATAATGAAATGAAGGCAGAAAAAAAGATGATCTTTGAAACCAATGAGAACAAAGATACAATGTACCAGAATCTCTGGGACACATTTAAAGCAGTGTGTAGAGGGAAACTTACAGCACTAAATGCCCCTAACAGAAAGCAGGAAAGATCTAAAACTGACACCCTAACACCACAATTAAAAGAACTAGAGAAGCCAAGAGCAAACAAATTCAAAAGTTAGCAGAAGGCAAGAAATAACTAAGATCAGAGCAGAACTGAAGGAGATAGAGAGAGAAAAAAACCTTCAAAAAAAAAAAATCAATGAATCCAGGAGCTGGTTTTTTGACAAGATCAACAAAACCGATAGACCACTAGTAAGACTAATAAAGAAGAAAAGAGAGAAGAATCAAATAGATGCAATAAAAAATGATAAAGGGGATATCACCACTGATCCCACAGAAATACAAACTACTATCAGAGAATACAGTAAACACCTCTATGCAAATAAACTAGAAAAATCTAGAAGAAATGGATAAATTCCTCGACACATACACCCTCCCAAGACTAAACCAGGAAGAACTTGAATCCCTGAATAGACCACTAACAGGCTCTAAAATTGAGGCAATAATTAATAGCCTACCAACCAAAAAAAGTCCAGGACCAGATAGATTCACAGCCAAATTCTACCAGAGGTACTAAGAGGAGCTGGTACCATTCCTTCTGAAACTAGTCCAATCAATAGAAAAAGAGGGAAACCTCCCCAACTCATTTTATGAGGCCAACATCAGCTTGATACCAAAGCCTGGCAGAGACACAACAAAAAAAGAGAATTTTAGACCAATATCCCTGATGAACATCGAAGTGAAAATCCTCAATAAAATACTGGCAAACCGAATCCAGCAGCACTTCAAAAAGCTTATACACCACAATAAAGTTGGCTTTATCCCTAGGACGCAAGGCTGGTTCAGCATACGCAAATCAATAAACATAATCCAGCATATAAACAGAACCAAAGACAAAAACCACATGATTATCTCAATAGATGCAGAAAAGGCCTTTGACAAAATTCAACAACGCTTCATGCTAAAAACTCTCAATAAACTAGGTACTGATCGAACGTATTTCAAAACAATACAAGCTACTTATGACAAATCCACAGCCAATATCATACTGAATGGGCAAAAACTGGAGGCACTCCCTTTGAAAACTGGGACAAGACAGGGATGCCCTCTCTCACCACTCCTATTCACCATAGTGTTGGAAGTTCTGGCCAGGGCAATCAGGCAAGAGAAAGAAATAAAGGGTATTCGATTAGGAAAAGAGGAAGTCAAATTGTCCCTGTCTGCAGATGACATGACTGTGTATTTAGAAAACCCCACTGTCTCAGCCCAAAATCTCCTGAAGCTGATAAGCAACTTCAGCAAAGTCTCAGGATACAAAATCAATGTGCAAAAATCACAAGCATCCCTATACACCAATAACAGACAAACAGAGAGCCAAATCATGAGTGAACTCCCATTTACAATTGCTACAAAGAGAATAAAATACCTAGGAATCCAACTTATAAGGGATGTGAAGGACCTCTTCTAGGAGAACTACAAACCTGCTCAGCGAAATAAAGTAGGACACAAACAAATGAAAGAACATTCCATGCTCATGAATACGAAGAATCAGTATCGTGAAAATGGCCCTACTGCCCAAGGTAATTTATAGATTCAATGCCATCCCCATCAACCTACCAATAACTTTCTTCACAGAATTGGAAAAAACTACTTTAAAGTTCATACGGAACCAAAAAAGAGCCCGCAATGCCAAGACAATCCTAAGCAAAAAGAACAAAGCTGGAGGCATCACACTACCTGGCTTCAAACTATACTACAAGGCTACAATAACCAGAACAGCATAGTACTGGTACCAAAACAGATATATAGACCAATGGAACAGAACAGAGCCCTCAGAAATAACACCACACATCTACAACCATCTGATCTTTGACAAATCTGACAAAAACATGAGATGGGGAAAGGATTCCCTGTTTAATAAATGGTGCTGGGAAAACTGGCTAGCCATATGTAGAAAGCTGAAACTTCATGACTAAAACACCAAAAGCAATGGTAACAAAAGCCAAAATTGACAAATGGGATCTAATTAAACTAAAGAGCTTCTGCACAACAAAAGAAACTACCATCAGAGTGAACAGGCAACCTACAGAATAGGAGAAAATTTTTGCAACCTACCCATCTGACAAAGGGCTAATATCCAGAATCAACAAAGAACTCAAACAAATTTACAAGAGAAAAACAAACAACCCTATCAAAAAGCGGGCAAAGGATATGAACAGACACTTCTCAAAAGAAGACATTTATGCAGCCAAGAGACACATGAAAAAATGCTCATCATCGCTGGCCATCAGAGAAATGCAAATCAAAACCACAGTGAGATACCATCTCACACCAGTTAGAATGGCGATCATTAATAAGTCAGGAAACAACAGATGCTGGAGAGGATGTGGAAAAATAGGAACGCTTTTACACTGTTGGTGGGAGTGTAAACTAGTTCAACCATTCTGGAAGACAGTGTGGCGATTCCTAAACGATCTGGAACTAGAAATACCATTTAACCCAGCAATCCCATTACTGGGTATATACGCAAAGGATTATAAATCATGCTACTATAAAGACACACGCACACGTATGTTTATTGCGGCACTATTCACAATAGCAAAGACTTGGAACCAACCCAAATGTCCATCAATGATAGACCAGATTAAGAAAATGTGGCACATATATACCATAGAATACTATGCAGCCATAAAAAAGTATGAGTTCATGTCTTTTGCAGGGACATGGATACAGTTGGAAACCATCATTCTGAGCAAACTATCATAAGGACAGAAAACCGAACACCGCATGTTCTCACTCATAGGTGGGAATTGAACAATGAGAACACCTGGACACAGGGCGGGGAACATCACACCCTGGGGCCTGTCGTCGGGTGGAGGCCAGGGGAGGGATAGCATTAGGAGAAATACCTAATGTAAATGACGAGTTTATGGGTGCAGCAAACCAACATGGCCCATGTATACGTATGTAACAAACCTGCACATTGTGCACATGTACCCTAGAACTTAAAGTATAATTTAAAAAAAAATAAATGATCCTGAAGAAAGTAATTAAGAACAGAAATTAATAATAAAACTCTAAGAAACAAAAAAAGCCACAAAACATTCAATTACCATATGATCCCCAATTACAAACTTGGGCATTTATCCCAGAAAAATGAAAGTTTGCGTTCACAAATAACCCTTACATAAATGTTCATAGCAGCTTTATTTATAATAGCCAAAAACTGGAATCATCCCAGATGTCCTTCAATTGGTGAATGACCAAACAAACTGTGGGACATCCATACCACAGAATATCACTCAGCAATGAAAAGGAATGAATACTGACACTTGCAACAAATAAGATGAATGATCAGGAAATTATGCTGAGCAAGAGAAAGTTACATAGTGTATAATTCCATTGATAGAACTTTTCTTGAAATGACAGAACTATAGAAATGTAACACAGATTAGTGATTGACAAGATGGGGTAGGGGAGTCACGCAGGAGGGAAGCCGATGTGGTTATAAAAGAGTAACATGATGAATCCTCGTGGACTTAAAACTTCTTTATCTTGACTGTGTTAGTGGATACGCAAGTACTAAAAGTGTACAGAACTTAGCATGCAACATAGATATATACATAAATGAGTACAAGTAAAACTGAGGACATCTGATATGACCACAAGCAATTTCCTGAGTCTTAAGCCAAACATCTCCCGGTGGGCAACCTCAGCACCTTTGTTTCTGCTATTCCTTTAGCCTTATGCCCACCTCTGTCATTTCAACCTATCAATATCCTTTTTATTCTTGGAGGCATAGGCTAAAATTGCATGCTTTTTCATGAAATCTTTCTCAATCACGTCAGCTAAACATGAACTCTCCTGCTTCAGTTCTAGCCCTTACTATGGTATATCTTATATTAGTTACATATTTCTGATTTAAGATTTTAAGCATTTGAAAATAAGGATTAATGTGTAACTATCAGCACTAAGCTAACTAAGCTAGCTCAGTCCCTTGGATAGGCACTCAGGTATTAACATCCAACCATAATTCCTACTCTTCCAGGGCATAAATTCTCCACTTGAAATAGACGGTCTCCTCCTCTATCCTATGCAGGTATCTTCTCACCTGGAATGCTCCATTTCTCAAGTTACAATGAACCCTTCAAAGTTATCTCAAAGGTCATTTATTCCTTGAAGTCTTCCCATGTTTTTCTTAATCCGTTTCATCTCTCCTTCTTGCAATGCCCATTACACTTTGTACTTTCCTTAAATCACTTAGTTTAAGTCCTGTACTACAATCACATTCTGGCATCTGCCTAACCTTCTCCAAAGAGTAAATTCCTTCACAGCAACAACTGCCCTGAACACTTTGGAAAATGCTTTACATATATTTGGTGTTCACGTATTTGCTGAATTGAATAAAACTTACTTCTAGAAAGTTAAGTAATATTATCATTCAACCTTATAACACCATTGATAAATATAAATGCCATAGAGTAAGTTCTATAGGAAATGTTAATCAACTCTGTAATTCTCTTATGACTTACAAGATATCATTTCTGATTCCCCCTGCCTCTCTATACCTTGCTTCTTAGTTTCGCATATATATTTTTGTTCTATCCTGACCCACCTTTATTGAAATGCTGATGGTTCCTTCAGATTTTTTTTATTTTTTTATTTTTTTATTTTTTATTTTTTTTGAGACAGGGTCTTGCTCTGTCACCCAGGCTGCAGTGTACTGGCACATCGGCTCACTGCAGCCTCAACCTCTTGAGCTCCAGAGATCTTACCTCAGCTTCCCAAGTTTCTGGGACTACAGGTGTGTGCCACCATGCCCAGCTAATTTTCTTCCAGGTTCCTTCAGATTCTATCCAGGTCTCTCTTCTCCATCCTCACACAGTTCCTGAGTGATCTTACCTACTCACATACTAATTACTGCCAATCTTTATCTGTAACCTCTATTTTCAACCTTAGCTCCAGGCCTACATTTTCAACTACCTAATGGACAACCATCCCGTCTTACCTGGATGTATCATAAAGGAAGATTTCCCAAATCAAGTTTATTAGCCTTCAATCACAAGTTTTCTATAATCTCCCTTTCCTCAACTTTGGGACTAACAGATTATTTTTTATTCTTCCTCTTTTATGTCCTGTATCCAACCAAACTGTATTATTAATCCCACCTCCAAAATCTTGCTTGAATCAATCCAATTACCTCCATTTCTATCACTACCATCTCCACATTCATTTTCTGTCTATATCTATAGTAACAGTCTTGCCTCTGGTTTCCCTACCTGCCTCTCCAGTTTCTCTCCTCTCCAGTTTATCATATACTCTACTTTATGTGTTACCTTTTCAAAATAAAATTCTCATCATATGATTTTCCTATTCAAAAACATCCAATGATTCCTCAATTATCAATAGGATAAAATCTAAACTCATTATTCATGTAGACCAGGGGCTGGCAAACTAAGGACCATGGACCAAATGTAACCCACCATCTTTTTGTACATGCAATTTTATTGGAAAACAGCCATGCTCATTCATTTACATATTATCTATGGCTGTTTTCACAGCAACAGAGTTGAGTAATTGCAACTGAGACCAAATGTTCCAGAAAGCCAAAAACATTTACTATCTGGCCCTTTACACAAAAAATTTGCAGACTCCTGGCATAGAGGATGTAGAATAATTGGGCCCCTACCTCCCTTTCCAGTCTCAACTCCCATCACAAACTCTAAGCCTTTGTTATGTCAAACAGGGTATTCTCCTCTTAATAAAACCACTACTTATTTTTCAAGGGGCTTTACTTGACACAATTGGGGCCCAGAGTATATTGAATAAAATTATGGCTTTTTACCAATTCCTATCATATTATCTCATGTCTTATTTAAAACACATACAAACCTATGATTGTAAACAGAAATCAGAGGATGGAAACTACTTGGGCAAGTGACAGCAAATATGTGTATTGTAAAGATTGCAGAACACTTAAAATAGCTGACAAGAGGTTCTATCATGACAACTAAAAAACACCTTTTACTTTGGCAGGATACTTTTGTGCAAAGAGCACTAGATTTGAAGTCAAAGCACTTAGGTCTAATACTTAAGTTTGGATATTAGAGTCCCAGTATTGTTGCATATGAGCTACATAGTCTTTTCATAAAGATAACACAAACACTGAATTTTTAATCTGAGTCACTATTATCATTACCAATATTATCAGCATCTGTGATCCAATACCATAATTACAAATTATATTTTCATAACATTTTAAAGCTTATAAAGTATTCACAGACATCTCATTTGAGTTCACAGTAGTCTTGTGAGATTTGAAGGCAAGTTTCTTCCCTTTGTAAATAAAGAAATTAAGGCCCAAAGAAACTAAGTGTGCTGCCTAACATCACAGAGTCAAAAAATAGCAGAGGCTCAATCTAGGTCTCCTGATTCTAGTTTAATAGTCTTCCCACTTTTCAATGTTGTCTATTTAATGACATTTTACAAAATGTAATCTGCTGTGAGCCTGCAATAAGAAATAATTTAACAGCAAAAATTATACATAATATCCCTCGATCTTACCTCCACCTGAGAGACAACACCATTAGCAAAGGCTCTGGCTTCAACTAAATTTGGTTCTACTGAAAAGCTCATCAAGATCCAAAGAGTATTCCAAGATGGTCACATCAGAGTTGTTAGACCACTAACTAGTCCAGTCATTATTTACATTAGAAAAAAAATATGTTTGTATTACAACTATTTCACACAGGCATGAAACTTCAAACCGATGTCAGAAAAATGTTTCTAGGCTAAAATAAAGGATTTTCAACTCAACAGACTAAGAACATTCAGGAAAGTCCTTAAGTAAAATTAATAACAAAATGTTATATATTGACCACTGCTTTTGAAACATTTATAAGACTACATGTTAAAGAGTCAAAATCTATCCAGGACTGAAAGAGTGAATATCAGCTAGGACTGAAAAAAGAAAAAAGCAACCATGCAATTAATCAGGCTTGGGAGGACAGACATAGATAAAACCAGCTGCAAAATTAACAGGAAACATTGTTTTTCCTAAGGTCATGTGGCAGTTGTAAAATATCATGAAGACTCCCTCTCGAGTGATTACTGCTTTCTTACCAACAATGTCCCCGGACCCGCTTTGCTATTTTCACTTATTACCAGAGGGAGATACCCAGTTCCTAAACTGTCCTTGCTTCATGATGGTACCCGATCCGTAGTTAATTCCCACTTGTTCCAATTTGCCTCAGTTAACAGCCACCAATCTAGAACTGATCCTGGCTTCCATCAGACCCTCCTCAGAATACTTTAATGTAAAACAAACTTTACAAAAAGTACTTCCCTCATCCCTCTTATCCAGAGGCCTTTCATTGTTACTTGGGAGTTTACTCGCTCACTATACATAAATACATCTGATTTTCTCAGACTACAGGCTAATTCTTAGTGGTCCTTAGTTGATTATGCTTAAACAAAAAAAAAAAATGCATTTTGAATTATCCTACAGATTCAGCAGTTTCCTATCAAGAAAAGCACTCTTAAGACCCCCCCCCACGAAAAACCTCCTGAGCCTAAACCAGAAAATCACTAACCACGACAGAATTTTACTCCCAAGAAAGATGAGTAACTCACTGAATTCTGTTTATTATCACAGGAAATATTCTGATCAATAATGCTAAGAGACATAGGACTTAACCAAAGCCAGGTAACTATCATATCTGCTGGGAAAGAGTTTATCATCAAATTGGCACCAAGTTCAGATAAAACTAGAAGTATACAAATTAGTGGTATTATTATTATTTTTTCTTTTTGAGACAGGGTCTCACTCTGTCACCCTGACTGTAGTGCAATGGCCTGAACACAGCTCACTGCAGCCTCAACCTCCTTGGCTCAAGTGATCCTACTGCCTCAGACTCCTAAGTAGCTGGGACTATAGGCACACAGCACCACACCTGGCTAATTTTTTATTGTTTAATTTTTGTAGAGACAGGGTCTCACCACGCTGCCCAGGCTAGTCTCGAACTCCTGGGCTCAAGTGATCCTCCAGCACTGGCTCCCAAACTGTTGGGATTACAGGCACGAGCCACCATGGCCGGCCTCTGATTTTTTTAATACAAATGAATAACATAACTCTTGGGCAATTTTATCTGTTACCTGCAATCATTAAAGTTATCCATAGTATATATGAAATCCTTATGTAATTTTCTAATTTTTTTAGTTTTTAATTTTTTGGTTAGAGGTGGGATCCCACTTTGTTGCCCAGGCTGGTCTTAAATTCCTGGGCTAAATGGGTCCTCCATCCTAGGCCTCCCAAAGTGCTAGATGACAGGCTTCAGCCATCACACACAGCCTAAGTTTTAAATTTTAATATAAATTATATAAAAATAGATTGTTTCCAATTTTTCAATAAATGGCATTGAAAGAGAAACCAAATTATTTTGGCCATAGGTCAAGCTAACTTCATAAACATAGTAGCCACATTTCAGCTACTACAAGGTAAGAAATAAGATCCTATTGTGTTTTAAGCTTTAAAAAACTCAAGAGTTGAAAAGTGCCTTGTTACCAAGTCTTTGGAAAATAGAAAATCTAGCTATTTTAAAGAATAATAATCTCAATCCAACTTTAGTAGGCCAGAATTTTGGGGGCTAGGACAAAAACATTATTACCAAAATAATGTTCAAATATGATGCTTACAAGATTAAGAAAATCCTGTAACCAACTTCAAGACAAAGTTTTAAACTTCTAAGAAACAGTAGCTGCACATCTACCTCAATTTTAAGTCAAGAATATGGAGGTGCAGTGGGGGATGAAGCAAGGAGAGGAGTGCCTTCAGCAAAAGATTAAGACTGAATCAAAAATAGTACAAGGCTCAGCCAATAACTACTGACCAAATATAGTCTTAAAGCTGTACAGACATAGGGCAGAAAGGACTACTGTTCATAGATCAGGCTTCTTGTACCATACCTATCATCATCAATATCCTCATCTTCAAATACAAAGAGTTTTTCAGAAAACAAGCTGTACGTAATTAAGCAGAGCTAAAATAACCTTGGATTCGTATTTTCTCTTTTACAAAAAAATAACCTGGTCAACATTAGTTTTATTTTTAAAAAATTTGGCCAGGCACGGTGGCTCACACCTGTCATTCCAGCACTTTGAGAGGCCAAGGCAGGTGGATCACTTGAGGTCAGGAGTTTGAGACCAGCCCAGCCAACATGGTGACACCCTGTCTCTACTAAAAACACAAAAATTAGCTGAGCGTGGTGGTGCACACCTGTAATCCCAGCTACTTGGCAGGTTGAGGCATGAGAATTGCTTGAACCTGGGAGGTGGAGTTTGCAGTCAGCCAAGATGGTGCCATTGCACTCCAGCCAGGGCAATAGAGCAAGACTCCATCTCAAAAACAAACAATTTAATTAGAAAACAGAACGTGGTCGGGCATGGTGGCTCATGCCTGTAATCCCAGCACTTTGGGAGGCCGAGGCAGGTGAATCAACTTAGGTCAGGAGTTCAAGACCAGCTTGGTCAACATGGTGAAACCCCATCTCTACTAAAAATACAAAAAATTAGCTGGGCGTGGTGGCGCATGCCTGCAATCCCAGCTACTCAGGAGGCTAAGGCAGGAGAATCGCTTGAACCCAGGAGGTGAAGGTTGCAGTGAGTCGAGATTGTGCCACTGCACTCCAGCCTGGGCAACAAGGGAGAAATTCTGTCTCAAAAAAAAAAGTAAGAAAATAGAATGTATGCAATCCTCTGATTGGTTAAAGTGTAGTAAGCATATTAGTTTCTATTAAGTAGAGAGGACAATAATAGACTAAGAAAATACTGCCAAAAACACTGGAAAGTGGCCAGGTGGAGCGGTTCATGCCTGTAATCCCAACACTTTGGGAAGCAAAGCAGATCGCTTGAGGTCAGAAGTTCAAGACCAGCCTGGGCAACCCTGTCTCTACAAAAAAAATAAAAAAATTAGCCAGGCATGGCAGTACATGCCTGTAGTCCCAGCTAGTTTTTGGTGAAGCTTCGTTGGGGGTTTCCTAAAATAACTCCAACAACTAAACAGATTAATATAGACTAAAATCTTGAAAGAAGCCACGAAAGCGACAAAAATGAATATGAATAAAATGTGATAATTCTAGTAAAATTACAAAGGTATAGAATTACTTCTTTCATGGATTTGATTCTATGGATCAAATTATGTCTCTAAAACCTTAACCAGCAATAGTAAAAGTATACAGTCTCCAAAGTTGATGCCAATCACATCTCATAACACCAATCCACAGTAAAACTTAAATAACACTAATAAGTTCTACAGGCTATTGATATTCATATTCATGGCCATTGAACATCTTTTTGCTAGGGTAATATTAAGTGAAATATGGCAAAGAAATATTATTTACAATTCCTTTCAGGCTTTCTGCAAAGTTCACTTATATAATTTGGAATGATAAACATCCCAAATCTTTATTTTTTTTAAATCCTCTCCTAAACTTTTTAACTTAATTTGGTTAATATACACAGAAGTTTCAGACTGCCTTTTCCTCCAACTAAACAAACCTGGCACTGTTTTACCTCTTCCCTTTGTGAAGCATAAAGTTCTATCTCTATAAAGTACTGAGTTAAACATATAGAACAAATATCAAAAGATTAATACTTTGGTGTATACTGAAAGAAAAATCTAAAGGAATAATAATGAGGAAAGAAAAAACATGTTCATACTAGGATTAAATGGAGAAAATACTTTTTTCATTATATTTTATATAATAAAATAAGCCCTCATATAATAAAATCTGTTTCATTTTTTAAAAAGATACTAAATTATTAATCCTAATATTACTACAATACTGATTTCAGAAATGGATATAAGGGGCTAGAAACACATATAGGCTATATAAAACCATAAACACATCTTAAAAGGATACTTCAGTTTCCATGTGGCAACAATCATAGCACTTCCATCTATTTAATATTTAGTGAGCACTTACAATGTGGAAAATACAAAAGATGGAGTTTATATTCCAGTTTAATTACTTGCAGGTGTGACAAGAATCTCTTGATCTTCTCCAGGTATATAAAAGTAATGGCTTCAGAAGCAACTCACTTCAGGCACAATTATGAGAGTACAAAGAGGAGGAAGGTGGTAAGTAGAGTGAGGCAGGCCACAAAAAGCAAAACCTAGCAAAAGTATGATACATAGGCAAGATATAGGAACTACATAAAATTAGAGAGGGTGACAAATATTCCTGGCAGAAACCCAGTCACCTCAGCCAGATAAACAGTTTAAATTAGACTACTTTCTTTCCATTTACATTTACATATAAACAAGAGATAGATTCCTCACCTCCAAGTGAATTCTGGCATGAAGAGTGACATATAACGACACAATGGCCAATAAGTCAAGAGTCAATCAATGCTAAATAAAAGCTTAGAGCAACACGTAAATATTAATTTGGCTTTAGAATTAATGCAAGGGTCCTGAGCTGTATACAGTGTAAATTACAAGCTTACTATGTAAATTACAGGATATTGCTATATGCCAATTGTACTAAAGATAAAAAACAAAATTCTTTTTTTTTGAAGTTGCAAGATTTAATAGAGTGAAAACAGAGCTCCCATAAAATGGGAGGGGACCCAAAGGGGGTTGCCGTTGCTGGCTCGAATGCCTGGGTATATCCCGATCATTGTCCCTCCCCGTGTGCTCTCAGGCGATAGATGAGTGGCTATTTCTTTATCTTCTGTTTTTGCCTAATTAGGATTTGAGTGAGCTATTTTTACTACCTGATTGGTCACGTGTGAGCTAAGTTGCAAGCCCCTTGTTTAAAGGTGGATGTGGTCACCTTCCCAGCTAGGCTTAGGGATTCTTAGTCGGCCTGGGAAATCCAGCTAGTCCTGTCTCTCAGTCCCCCCTCTCAACAAGAAAACCCAAGTGCTGTTGGGGAGGTTGGCCGATGACTGCTCTAACTGCTTCCTGCTGAACTGGGGCATAGTAGGGGTCGTGCAGTTGAGATTTCCTCGGGAAAAAAATGTTTAAAAATACAGTCTTATTGCATCATACCCTTGCCTCAGTTTAGAAATATAAGCATGCATACAAAAATCAGTAGCATTTCTATATGCCAACAGAGCACAATATGAAAAGGAAATCAAGAAAGTAATCCCATTTAGTATAGCTATAAATAAAATAAAATACCTAGGAATAAACCTAACCAAAGAAGAGAAAGATCTCTACAATGAAAACTATAAAACACTGATGAAAGAAATTGAAGATACAAAAAAAGGAAAGATATTCCATATTCATGAATTATAAGAATCATTATTGTTAAAATGTCCATTCTACTCAAAGTAATCTACAGATTCAACGCAATCCCGATCAAAATACCAATGACATTCTTCACAGAAATAGAAGAAATAATCCTAAAATGTATATGGAACCACAAAAGACCCAGAATAGATGACACCATCCTGAGCAAAAATAATAAAACTGGAGAAATCACTTACCTGATTTCAAATTACACTACAGGGCTATTGTATCCAAAAACAGTATGGTACTGGCATAAAAACAGAAACATAGGCCAATGGAACAGATTAGAGAACTGAGAAATAAATCCATATGTCTTAAGTGAACTGATTTTCAACAAAGGTCCCAAGAACACATATTGGAAAAAGGACAATCTCTTCAATAAATGGTGCTAGGAAAATTGGATACCCATATGCAGAAGAATGAAACGAGACCCCCTATCTCTCGCCATATACAAGAATCAAATCAAAATGGGTTGAAGACTTAAATTTAAGACCTCAACCTATGAAACCACTAAAAGAAAACATCGGTGAAACTCTCCAGGACATTGGACTGGGTAAGGATTTCTGATTTGTTGACTAATACCCCAAAAGCACAGGCAACCACAGCAAAAAAAGTTTGTGCACAACAAAGGAAACAATCAACAAAATGAAAAGACAACCCAAATAATGAGAAAAAATATTTACAAAGTATCCATCTGACAAAGGATCAATAACCAGAATATAGCCAGGCACAGTGACTCACGCCTGTAATTCCAATACTTTTGGGAGGCAGAGGTGGGAGGATCACTTGAGGCCAGGAGTTTGAAACCAGACTGGTTAACACAGTGAGACCCTATCTCTACAAAAATATATATATTTTAATTATCCAGAAGTGGTGGTGCATGCTTATAGTTCCAGCTAATCAGGAAGCCGAGGCAGGAAGCTCACTAGGAGTTCGTGGCTGCAGTGAGCTATGGTTGAACCAGTGCACTCCAGCCTCGATGACAGAATAAGGCAAGACCCTATTTAAAAATAAATAAATAAAAATAACCAGAATGTAAAAGGAGCTCAAACAACTCAATAGAAAAAAAAAATCTAATAATCCAATTTAAAAATGGGCAAAAGATCTGAATAGACATTTCTCAAAAGAAAATATACAAATGGCAAACAGGCATATGAAAAGGTGCTCAACATCATGGATCATCAGAGAAATGCAAATCAAAACTATGAGGGGCGGGTGCAGTGGCTCATGCCTGTAATTCCAGCACTTTGGGAGGCAGAGGCAGGCAAATCACCTGAGGTCAGGAATCTAAGACCAGCCTGGCCAACGTGGTGAAACCCCATCTCTACCAAAAAATACAAAAATTAGCCAGGCATAGTAGTGCACACCTGTAGTCCCAGCTACTAGGAGGCTGAGGTGAAAGAAACACTTGAACCCGGGAGGCAGAGGTTGCAGTGAGATGAGATCGCACCACTGCACTCCAGCCTGGGTGACAGAGTGAGACCCTGTCTAAAAAAAAAAAAAAAAAATCCAAAAGACATGCAATAATAAATGCTGGTGAGGTTTTGGAGAAAAGGGAACCCTTGTACACTCTTGGTGGAAATGTACATCAGTATAGCCACTATGGTTAACAGTATGGAAGCTCCTCAAAGAACTAAAAATAGGACTACCATATAATTCAGTGATCCTACTGCTAGGTATATACCCAAAAGAAAGCAAAACAGTATATTGAAGAGATATCTGCACTCCCATGTCTATTGCAGTACTATTCACAGTAGCCAAGATTTTGAAGTAACCTAAGTATCCAACACCAGACAACTAGACAAAGAAAATGTGGTATTTATACGCAATGGAATACTATTCAGACATAAAAAAAAATGAGATCCTGTCATTTATAACAACATGGCTAGTACTGGAGAACGTTATATTAAGTGAAATAAGCCAAGCACAGAAAGACAAACTTTACATCTTCTCACTCATTTGTAGGAGCTAAAAATTAAAACAATTAAACTCATGGAAATAGCAGAATGATGGTTACCAGAGGCTGGGAAGGATAGTGGGAAAGAGCGGGGAAGTGGGGATGGTTAATGCGTAAAAAAATATAGTTAGATACAATGAGTAAGATCTAGTATTTGATAGTACAACAGGGTGATTAGAGTCAAGAATAATTTATTGTACATTTTTAAATAACTAAAAATATAATTGGAATGTCTGTATAACACAAAGAAAGGCTAAATGCTTGAGGTGATGGGCACCTCATTTACCTTCAGGTGATTATTACACATTGTATCCCTGTACAAAATATCTCACATACCCAACAAATATACACATCTACTATGTACCTATAAAAACCAGAAATTGATTATCAGTCTCAAATGAATGAGCCATCCTGCTACCATTTCTAGGTAATTTTATAAAAACTGTTTAGATTATGATAATTAGGAAAATTCCTAAAATTGTTACCATGATGGATAGTATCAACAATACTAGTTCTTCAAATAAACATTAAACACACTTTTTTTTATTTTAAGTTCTGGGATACATGTGCAGAACGTGCAGGTTTGTTACATAGGTAAATATGTACCATGGTGGTTTGCTGCACTTAACCCGTCACCTAGGTATTGAGTCCCACATGCATTAGCTATTTCTCCTGATGCTTTCCCTTCCCTCACCCCCACAAGAGGCCCTGGTGTGTGTTGTTCCCCCGCCCTGTGTCCATATGTTCTCATTGTTCAGCTCCCACTTATGAGTGAGAACATGCAGTGTTTGGTTTTCTGTTCCTGTGTTAGTTTGCTGAGGATGATAGCTTCCAGCTTCATCCATGTCCCTGCAAAGGACGTGATCCCATTCCTTTTATATGGCTGCATAGTATTCCATGGTGTATATGTACCTTTTCTTTATCCTGCCTATCATTGATGGGCATTTGGGTTGGTTCCATGTCTTTGCTATTGTGAATAGTGCTGCAATAAACATATGTGTGCCTGTATTTTTAAAATAGAATGATTTGTATTCCTTTGGGTATATACCCAGAAATGGGATTGCTGGGTCAAATGGTATTTCTGGTTCTAGAACCTTGAGGAATCATCACAGTCTTCCACCATGGTTGAACTAAAACATACTTTTAAAACTACTTCTGTACTCACAAGCCAGCTCAGCAGCAGAACTGTCTGTGTGAAATTTTAACTTCAAATTCTAGTGTAACTATGGCAAAGTTTCTAAAATGAATATTAATCTTTAAAATGACGAAGAAATAGTAATAGGTGATAGTGTAAGACCTCAAACAATACCACAAATATTAATTACATATGCCTCAGAATTTCCTTGAGTGGCATTAAGTATTAACACTATTTTGAATTTAGCTCAATTTTCTTCTTCTGATTTAATTTTGGTACAATACAAAACCAATTTGATTAGTCAAGCATACAGCTAATGAAATGGCATGACTGGCACTTAGAACTAAAATAATGTAAATATCACAGATATTTTTGCTCTTGCCATAAGAAATCTAGAAATTCACCCTTGGTAAATGTAAGTACACATGTATTTTAAAGTGTTACAGTAGTTAGTGTGGAGAATAGAATCTGGGAATTAACTCTCAAATTCCTTCCTTATGCTCCCTTACCTTCATTTCATTAAACTACTAAATAACTTTTTTGATTAACTATACGAACGACGGAAACATTTGAATAAATACTCCAACATAGTGCAAAGTCCAGATAAGGTCAGAATTTTATTGTTTTTGGCCAAAGTCTGTTGTAAAACTTTCATAGAAAAGAACTGGCACAATTCAATCTTTAAAGTGAGTCGCTAAAATCAAGATATGAACAGCTAAAAGTAGTTTCTAAGGATAAAAATAGGAAACTTAAAAATCAGGCCAGGCGCAGTAGTTCACACCTATAATCCTAGCACTTTGGGAGGCCAAGGCAGGCAGATGACCTGGGATCTGGAGTTTGAGACCAGCCTAGCCAACATGGCAAAACCCTGTCTCTACTAAAAACACAAAAAAGTTAGCCAGGCATGGTGGCAGGAGCCTGTAATCCCAGTTACTTGGGAGGTTGACGCAGGAGAATCACTTGAACCCAGAAGCGGGGGTTGCAGTGAGCCAAGATAGTGCCACTGCACTCCAGCCTGTGCAACAGTGCAAGACTCTGTCTCAAAAGAAGAAAAAAGAAAATCAAATTTGTAAAATAAGTAAATTAACTATCAAATTATGCACCTATCCAGAGTAGCTTACCTGTTCCCATATTACTCTAGATCCACACTATCCAATATAGTGGCCACTAGCCACATGTGGTTGCTGAATGTCAAATTACTTAAAATTAAATAAAATAAATATTTAATTTCTCAGTTGCAATCATCTCCATTGTCACAGAAGGTTCTACTGGGTAGCACTGTTTTATATAAAATACCAGTTAAAATATGCCCTGAAAAATTACTGATATAATTCCAAATATAATGGGAAGAATGAAAAGAGGGACATGTCCATTTATTATACAAATTCTATGCATAGTGGCAAGAGAAGGGAACATCCTCAAACTGAAAAAAGGGCATTTATCATTATACTTAATGGTGAAAGATGATCTGTTTTCACCCTATGATCAGGTACAAGGCAAACCTGTACACTCTCACCCTTTTAATTTGCCTATATATATATATATATGGAGTCTTGCTCTGTCGCCCAGGCTGGAATGCAGTCAGTCGTGCAATTTTGGCTCACAGCCACCTCCACCTCCGAGGTTCAAGTGATTCTCCTGCCTCAGCCTCCCAAGTAGCTAGGATTACAGGCATGCACCACCAAGCCAAGCTAATTTTTATATTTTTAGTAGAGAGGGGGTTTCACCATGTTAGCCAACCTGGTCTCAAACTCCTGACCTGATGTGCCCGTCTCGGCCTCCCAAAGTGCTGGAATTACAGGCGTAAGCCACAGCGCCCAGCCTAATCCACCGTGCCCGGCCTAATCCACCATTGTAGTAAAGGCACTAGCAGCTCAATAATTTAAGAAAAAGAAATAGAAGGCACACAAAATCAGAAAGGAAAAAGTAAATCTGTCTTTATTTGCAGACAACAGGGTTATCTATATAAAGAATCCCAAAGAATCTCAAGGGAAAAAAGTCATTAAACCTAGTAAGTAAATGTACTGAGGTCAATATACAGAAAAACAAAACAAAACAAAAAGAAAAAAAAAACATTTCTATCTACTAGCAACAAACTGAAAATCAAAAATCTTAAAAATACAAATTAAAACTATATAAAAACCATAAAATCCTTAGGGAAAATTTCCACAATAGATGTGTTAAGACCTGAACACTGAAAACTACAAAACGCTGCTATGAGAAATTAAAGATTTACAAAAATAAAGAGCTATACTACGTTCCTGGATTAGAAGGCTCAATGCTGTCAAGATATCAGTTATTCTAAAATGTCTCTATACATTCAGTGCAATCCCAAGCAAAAACTCAGTACCTTCTTTTTGGGGAAATTGAGAAGCTGATTCTAAAATTTAGGTGGAAATGCTAAGGAACAGAAAAACCAAAACAATTTTTTGAAAATGAGAGCAAAGTTGGAAGACTCAGACAGCAGAGTCCAGAAAGACTCATACATACATGGTTAAATGCTTTTTGACAAATGTGCCACGATAATCCAATGGGGAAAAGGATGGCCTTTTCAACAAATGATACTGGAATTAGACACCCATATGCAAAAAAAAAAAAAAAATGAATTCAATCTAAACCACACACCTGATATAAAAATTAAAATGATCAAAAGTCTAAATATACAACAAAACTATAAAACTTCTAGAATATAAGAGAAAATCTCTGTGAGCATGAGTTAGGCAAAGATTTATTCAAACACAAAAAGTACAGTCTTAAAGACAAAATTGATAAATTAGACTTCAGCAAAAATTTCTGTTCTTTGAAAGACACTGGTAGGCCGGGCGTGGTGGCTCACGCCTGTAATCCCAGCACTTTGGGAGGCCGAGGCAGGCGGATCATGAGGTCAGGAGATCGAGACCATCCTGACTAACACGGTGAAACCCTGTCTCTACTAAAAATACAAAAAATTAGCTGGGCGTGGTGGCGGGCGCTTGTAGTCCCAGCTACTCGGGAGGCTGAGGCAGGAGAATGGCGTGAACACAGGAGGCGGAGCTTGCAGTGAGCCGAGACTGCGCCACTGCACTCCAGCCTGGGTGACAGAGCGAGACTCTGTCTCAAAAATAAATAAATAAATAAATAAATAAATAAATAAATAAATAAATAAATAAAGACACTGGTAATAAAATAGGGCCAGGGACAGTAGCTCATGCTTGTAATCCCAGGGGGAGGCCGAGGCAGGTGATTGCTTCAGCCCAGGAGTTTGAGACCAGCCTGGGCAACAAAGCTAGACCCCATCTCAATTTAAAAAGATGGGGGCAGGGAGGGGAGGAGACAACTGCACATTGAGAGAAAATATTTGCAAAATACAAAGGATTTGTACCCAAAATATATAAAGAACTCTCAAAACTCAATAATAAAAAAACGCAAACAACTCAATTTAAAAAATGGGTGAATACTTCACTAAAGATCTACAGACTGGCAAATATGCACATGAAAAGATACCAACCGACAGTATCAGAAGATGGTGAGAATGTGGGACAACTAGAAATCTCATATATTGCTGATGGGAATACAACATATAATAGCTACTTTCACAACAGTTCGGCAGTTTCTTATAAAGTTAAAGTTGTATTTAACATATGATCCAACAACTGTACTACCTATTTACCCAAAGAAATGAAGAAAGATATTCATGCAAAGACCTGTACATGAATATTTATAATAGCTTTATCCATAATAGGCAAAATTATTGAACAGATTATGGTAAATTCATAGAATGGAATGCTACTTGGTAATAAAAAGAAATGAACTACTGACACATGAAATGACACGCATGAATTTCAAAAGCACTGGTCTAAGTGAAATCAGACAGACATAAAAGGCTACTTACTACCTGATTTAATTTAGATGACATTTTAAATAACATGAAGTATAGTCAGTCACAGAAAGATTAGTGGTTTCCAGGGGTTGAGCAAACGATACTGAGGCTGATAAAAATGTTCCATATTTTATTGTAGTGGTGGTTACACAAAAATGTATACAATTTGTCAAAACTTATTGAACTGCACACTTAAAAAGACAGCCTTTTATGTCAATAATATCCTAATACAGTTGACTTAAAAAAAGTACCATGGCTAATACTCTATCTTTGGAGCTCTCTAGGTATAAATCTGTCATACCAAGAAAATATGGTGACATCTGACCATGAATATGACAGATAGTCTATTTAGAAGACAAGCAATATAACTTAGGCCAATCAAATAACTTCTCTGAGCTTTGGGTTTCTCTGCTGCAAACAGAAGGGTTTATAACCAAGTTCCCCAAATCTGTTCCCAGGAACTTACAGGATCTTTGGATCTGTTTCCAGGATCTTAATAGATATTCTGGAAAGAGTTTCCATGCTTAAATTTTTTTTTTCTTTTTTTTGAGACGGAGTCTCGCTCTGTCGCCCAGGCTGGAGTGCAGTGGCGCGATCTCGGTTCACTGCAAGCTCCGCCTCCCGGGTTCACGCCATTCTCCTGCCTCAGCCTCCCCAGTAGCTGGGACTACAGGCGCGTGCCACCACGCCCAGCTAATTTTTCGTATTTTTTAGTAGAGACGGGGTTTCACCATGTTAGCCAGGATGGTCTCGATCTCCTGACCTCGTGATCCACCCACCTCGGCCTCCCAAAGTGCTGGGATTACAGGCGTGAGCCACCCCGCCTGGCCTCCATGCTTAAATTACTTGGGAAATGCTCCCTATAAGGTGAGCAATGCATTTTAACATATGAAAAGCTACGAAAAGTACACCATTCATTTAACTTTTCCCCATTTTTAAAAAGCTGTTTGCCACATTTACTTGACCATGGAACTCCTTTTTTTTTTTTTTCCGAAAAACTGTCAATTCTTTATAGTTCTAAGATTCAACAGAACTTTCAAGAGGATATACCAGGCAGGCGTGGTGGCTCACACCCATAATCCCAGCACTCTGGGAGACCAAGGCGGGTGGATCACTTGAGGCCAGGAGTTCAAGACCAGCCTGGCCATCATGATGAAGCCCCATCTCTACTAAAAATACAAAATACAAAAATTAGTCGGATGTGGTGGTGCATGCCTGTAATCCCAGCTACTCAGGGGCTGAGGCAGAAGAATCGCTTGAACGAGGGAGTGGGGAGGTTGCAGTGAGCAGAGATTGTGCCGATGCACTCTAGCCTGAGTGACAAGAGACAACAGTGAGACTCTGTCTCAAAAAAAAAAAAAAAAAAAAAAAAAGATATACCTTCATGATTAAATTTTGTTTAGATTGGCAACCTATAAAACTGATTGGTTTGAAAGTAGCTATAGAGAACTATGACCCACAAAGAGAAAACTGCCTCAAATCACAAACTGGAAAGATTTCATATCCATCTTAGTGAGTTTTTGTCAGGCTTTGAATTCTAAATAACTTAAACTTAAGCATCTTGAGTACCAGTTACTACATGAAAATACATCATGATCGAATTGCCTCTGTTCTAAAAGCTCCTCCCCAAATAACATGCCAGATTTAAAATGAATTTAAAAACATCAGTGCCAGGGCCATGACAATTCCTAAGCAATTACTAAAAGAATAACAAACGGATTCAAATCAGTGTAAAGAGTTTATTTTACAAAACCAGCAGAAGTTTGAAAGTATATGCTTAGTTAAAAGAAAAAAAAAGCGAGAGAAGGGAAGAAGGGATAAAGAAAGCCTGTAAACCTAATATTGTAATGGTTGCTCTTCAGCATTTCACATGTGACCCATGAAGCATAACACACTACAAAATAATGTTGACAGTATAGCTAAAAATACTGTATTTTGAAAATAAGTAAATGCATGAATAACAAAAGTTATCTCAATTCAATATATTAATTATGACTAAAGCTTTAAGGCAAAGTGAACACTGGAAAATTCTGGTGGATAAACAAACAACTCTTGGAAAAAAAAAAGTTAGCAATACCATGTTCAATGAGACTCAACTTTTCCAAGTAACATCCAAGCTATGGAAAAGTATTTTTAGCAATATACTTCAGAGTATCCAATTTCCCTGAATAAGTCCTATGTATGTCTAATCAATGATTTTGTCTAAATATATCTTAAGAAATATTTCTAGCTTCAATTTACTTAACCTCTGAGGCTAAACTACATAAGCTTAATGTATAAGAAGTATTCCTTTTAAAAAAGTATTCATATTTTTCTATCTGAAATTCATCCCTTTCAAATTATAGGCATATTCTGTAGGCACTATATATAAAATAACGTAATTTTTTAGAAGAGCGAGAAAGTAATGGAGCAGAGGAGCAATTACTCACCCAGCACCTTGGTTTTGCACATACTTTGTGAGGGCGAACTTTAATATAAATAGTTTTGTATCTAGATCTCTTTGGGAACCACTACTAGTATTTCTTCATAATGGTCTGGCCAGAGATGTCCCAAGAATAATTTGAATGAGACGTGAATTTCATTAAACTGGAACCAAGAAAGGTGACTTTTTGTCTTAATACAGACATATAAAAATGTATAACATCATTATAATTTTGGAAAACAACACATATAAATAATGTACTTTTGTTTGGGAAACTCAGCACATAGACATGTAAATAGACAACCATATGGCTAAAAACGTCTATACTATATTAAAAAAGAAGTTTCTGCTAAGAAAGAAGTGAAATGAAATGAAATAAAGAAAACAAAGATCACCTTTTATAAAACATTGTATTTGCTTTAAGTAAAAATGTTTTAAAAATCTGGACTAGCCATGAAACTCCTCAGGAATGTAAACAGTTTGTTTATGCTTCCAATTTAATTTTGGTACCTATTTTTGTCTTCCTAATGAGTTCAGGAAGGAAAGAATCAACAATCTGTTTATAACACACAGGTATATTACTCACCCACATTTGGAGGTTTCACATAATTTACAGGTAGTTCTGGAGGTCTGCCTCTATGCAGAGCCGCAAAAGCAGACCCATTCCATAGTGTACTCTTACAGTCTATATAAAAAGAACAAAGGTTGCTAAGGAATAGAGCAGTTTTTTTTTTAACCATGTCTCAGAAGCAAATGTCTGATTTTAATTTAATTTGTTGGAATACATTTTTAATTATTAAACCAAAATGAAAATAATAGGCATATATTTGAACATGTTATAAACTAAATTTATAACTGGTAACCACCCAACACCTTAACATATCATCTGGATATTTTATTTCTAAGCTAGTCTTGAACTAAAGCTTTTTTTATGCACATATTTGAATCTTAAATAAATATGTCACAGATTAATAAGCTTTAAAGTTTACATCAGTTCTTCTTGATCTTTAGGCTTACACGTCTATTCATATAAAACCGTATAAGCAAGGATATAACTATAGCACAAGTATGCCAGGGAAAATTCAGGCATATTTATACTTGGGTACATGTTCGTATTATGAAATACTTGCCAGTTGTGTCATAACAGATAACAGCACTGCATATCAGATGGTAACTGGTTATAAATAGCTGTGTTTTTTTCTCTTTCATGTTTAAGTCAAAAAATGTAAGGAAATATTAAATATTACTAATAACTTGGCTTTAAAACAAAAACCCAAAAGCTCTCTTGAAAGTTTCCAAATAAACTCAATTAAGAATTTCCTTAAATTATAAAATGAGATGCTTAAAATCTGGTATCATTACACAACTATTTACCTTGGAGAATTAGGATTTTTTAAAATAGTATGCTAATTAAACAAAACATAGAAATAAATGGGCTGCTATACCTTAAGTATTTATTACTCCAATAGGCATCTTTAATGCCTAATTTTACATTTTTATGTTTATCAAATACCACTTTATGTTTGACATATTGAGGTTCCAGGTAAAACTTGGGAAAAATCTGTAAAACACTGAAAATCAGCTGAGTAGAAAAGCTTATTTAACAATTACTGAGGCCCGGCGCAGTGGTTTACGCCTGTAATCCCAGCACTTTGGGAGGCTGAGGCAGGCGGATCACGAGGTCAAGAGATCAAGACCATCCTGGCCAACATGGTGAAACCCTGTCTGTACTAAAAATACAAAAATTAGCTGGGCGAGGTGGCACGCGCCTGTAGTCCCAGCTACTCAGGAGGCTAAGGCAGGAGAATTGCTTGAACCTGGGAGGCGGAGGTTGTGGTGAGCCGAGATCGCGCCACTGCACTCCAGCCTGGTGACAGAGCAAGACTCTGTCTCAAAAAAAAAAAAAAAAAAAAAAAAAAATTACTGATAGGTTGATATTTTTGCTTAAATATGTTCAAATATTAAAATTGTACATATAATTTTGATTTACCTGTTACGAAAAGTACAATATCATTAGGATGACATTATCAAAACTAATAAAGAGTAAGAACATTATAATGAAAGAATATTGTAAGTATTTATACTGTATTAATCAAAGCAGGAATCTTTGAGATCTCTATTCCATGATTACAAAGGTATTTTATATTCTTTACCTATATATATTCACTTTTACACAAAAGGACTCCTTTTTAGGTCTCTAAAAATTTACTTGTACACTAAGAAAACAAAAACAACATTGGCAAGATAAGAAAAACTAGTATTTAGAAAAGCATGGGAACATTTACTCAATCTAAAAATAAGCTACTCTCCACTCCTTCCTCTGATATCACAGTCCTAAATTCTGAAAATCTCACCTTTGGCATCCCGTAGCAGAGACTGCCGACCAACACCTAATAATGTCTGTACCCCAGGAACACTCTGAGGGATCTCTTTATCTAGTAAAGGACCAATTCTCTCACAAATTTTAAGGAGGTAGTCTGGAGGAATGTGTGCATTTGCTGCCACCTAAAAAAGTATAAATAAAACACAGGAAAAACACATTTATTTGGTTTAAAAATATAAATCTATTCCACTACTAAATTGTTCCATTCATTATAGAGCAAAGTACAGTTTTAAAATATGGAATCAGGCCTGGGCGCGATGGCTCACGCCTGTAATCCCAAAACTTTGGGAGGCTGAGGCAGGTACATCACTTGAGGTCAGAAATTCGAGACCAGCGTGGCCAACATGGTGAAACCCCATCTCCACTAAAAATACAAAATTAGCCAGGCGTGGTGCTGCACGCCTGTAATCCCCGTTACTCAGGAGGCTGAGGCAGGAGAATCACTTGAACCCAGGAGGTGGAGGTTGCAGTGAGCCAAGATTGTGCCACTGTACTCCCGTCTGGGCAACACAGCGAGACTCTGACTCAAAAAAAGAAATAAAAAAAATAAAAATAAATAAAATATGGAATCAGAGCCGGGTGCAGTAGCTCAGGCAGATAATCCCAGCACTTTTAGAGGCCGAGGCAGGTGGATGGCTTGAGCCCAGGAGTTTGATAACAGCCTGGGCCACACAACAAAACCCCATCTCTACAAAAAATACAAAAATTAGCTGGGTATGGTGGCTGCACCTCTAATCTCAGCTATTCGGGAGGCTGAGGTGAAAGGATCACTTGAGCCCCAGAGGCAGAGGTTGCAGTGAGCTGAGATTGCACCACCACACTCCAGCCTGGGAGAATGAGAGAGACCTCGACTCAAAAAAATAAAAATAAATAAAAAAATATATATATATCTCTATATGTATGTGTATAGATATATATTTTCCATATATATATATTCCATATACATATGGAATCAGGAAGAGAATTTTTAAATATTTAATAATTGACCAAATTTAAGAAACAGTCACAAAATCAGCACATTTAAATGATATGACAACATTTACATGGCATGGCACTCTAATATACATTTAAATGTCTTAATCAAGTCATTTGCTTAGCTGTTAATCTTATGAAATAAGTG
The DNA here is from genome assembly GCF_000001405.40 of Homo sapiens. Lineage (NCBI taxonomy): Eukaryota > Metazoa > Chordata > Mammalia > Primates > Hominidae > Homo > Homo sapiens. The sequence continues at coordinate 80,794,771 of NC_000023.11, forward strand.
TTACAAAGCAACTAACATCCCAAAATCAAAAAAGCACACAGGTGATGAGTAAACTCTCTATTACTTGATTCATTCAGTAGTGACGAACTGATCCAAAATCAGAAGACCTAGATTCTATACAAATGATAAGAATACAAGTGAAAGGTATTACTTGCACCAAACCCACAACCAATAAAGCAAAACTGTTTTTCCTATTAAAGTTAACTTGTTTCCAAAAGGGTATAAAACTAACAATGTTATAAATACTATGCTTTAAATAACTCAGCTATGTAGCCAAAATTCCTTGAAACAAAAACTTGTTTTTAAAAAAACAAGTACAATTCTGGACATTAGATACCATATATAGATAAGAATGAAACTATAAAACAACAAAAATCGTGTTGCATTTTTAATCTAAGCTAATGTACAAATCCCTGAGGTGTTTCATAAATACTTAATTGTTAAAACAATAAAAAGAAAAACCAGAATATTAAAAACCTTTAGATAAAGTGAACGTCTACATTCTCATCTTGAAACAGGTCCTAAAATCTACTTCTGGCTACAATGTCAATTTTTATAAGTGCTATAATTGTGTATATATATACACACACACACACATGTGTATATATACACACATATATACATATATGTGTGTATATTCAGTGGTATATACACATATGTATATATACACGTATATGTATGTGTATATGTATAGATACCTATGTATATCTATACATGTATGTGTATATATGTATATGTATGTATACATATACATATATGTGTGTATATATATGCCATTGAATAGGACACACATCAATACTATTACCACCAGGTCAATCAAGAACAATAGGCTGGGAACGGTGGCTCATGCCTGTAATCCCAGCACTTTGGGAGGCAAAGGTAGGAGAATCACTTGAGCCCTGCAGTTTGAGACCAGCCTGGGCAACATAGCGAGATCTCATCCCTACAAAAAATGTAAAAATTATGGCTCTGAATGAAAATAAGTGAAAAAAAAAGAACAACAACAACAAAAATTAGCCAGGCATGGTGGCACGCCTGTAGTCCCAGCTACTCGGGAGACTGCAGTGGGAGGATTGCTTGAGCCCACGAGGTCAAGGCTGCAGTGAACTGTGTTCATGTCACTGCACTCCAGCCCGTGGGTGACCCTGTCTCCAAAAACAAAGAACAACAATAAAACACAAAAGAATAATTTTCTAACGCATCTCTGGTGATCACCATGAGAGAAGATATTTTGTGTGTTTTTTTTTCAATGATGTATTCCTTGCACCCAAAAAAGTGTTGGGCATAAAGCAGGACTAAATAAATATTTGTTGAATAAATGAATAAAAATCAAAGTAAAGTCTAACTATAATCAATGTTTTTGTTTTTTTTTTTTTTTGAGTCGGAGTCTCGCTCTGTCACCCAGACTATAATGCAGTGGTGCGATCTTGGCTCACTGCAACCTCCGCCTCCTGGGTTCAAGTGATTCTCCTGCCTCAGCCTCACGAGTAGCTGGGATTAGAGGCACAAGCCACCATGTCCAGCTAATTTCTGTATTTTTAGTAGAGACGGGGTTTCACCATGTTGGCCAGGCTGGTCTCGAACTCCTGACCTCGTGATCCACCCGCCTCAGCCTCCCAAAGTGCTGGGATTACAGGCATGAGCCACCGTGCCCAACCTAATCAATGTTATTGTAAGAATTCCTGGAGAAAAAATCTCAAATTCTCGTATCAGGATGCCTTTTTTGTTTTCCTAGGAAACACAGGTCAAAGAACCACAGTCCAACATGTATTCAGAATTCTGGTAACATGAGTGAATCACCTGTGATTATTTTTGTTTTAAATTATATCCTGCTATATATCTTTGGTAAGTTCCTTCAAAAAAAAACAATTTGAATCTACCAAAATAATTGAAGCCTGTGCAACTGTCATGATGCTCCGGAAGAATGGTAATCAGATTATTTCAGATTTGCATCTCCAGGGTTTAGCATCAGGACAGAGGATTAAGTAAATTCTTTCCATTAATTCTCACATCTTTAGTTTTTCTTCCAAGCAAACAACTATACAGAGCTATGTTTCAGAAAAATATAGAGGTAATATTAAAGTCAATGCAGCTGATGATTCAATCTAAAAAATACTTCATGGCTGGGAACGGTGGCTCATGCCTGTAATCCCAGTACTTTGGGAGGCCGAGGAGGGAGGGTTGCTTGAAGCTAGGAGTTCGAGACTCGCCTGGTAAACATAGCACCACCCTCATCTCTACAAAAAATAAAAATAAAAATAAGAATAAATCATTTCCTATCATCTACAGAGTGATATCCTAAAATCCTAGTTTATAATTCATACCCTGCACATTCAGGCATTTCCTAAATATGACTACATGCAAATATAATTAGTACCCTTAAAATATGTATCTGGAAAAAAAGTCTTAAGGTGCTGCATATTAACAACTGTAACAGCTTATTCCTTTTTTCCCAAAACTGTCTTAGATAAACTGGGCTTCTGTTATCAGCCATTATTTTTTCATCAAGTAAATGCTGTAAGAGGGCTTTTACATAGAGTAGTAGTTGACATTTTTACTGGTAATTATTTTTTTTAATCCTCTGGACCAACTCAAGATATTCAGTTGTTACATAAAAACTTCACTTAACTACCCTAGAAATACAACACATTTAGCATATACAATCCAGAAAATGGGAGTTCTATAATTAGAATTTTTAGAGTTACCCTCCTATAGAAAGAAAATTTGTTGGAGTTACATCTTAAACTGATATCTTAAGCTCCCTGGCTATTGCATTTTATAGAAACAATGATGTTTGATTTTCAGCTAATTATATAAAAAGTTTTATCAATCACTCAGTAATAATTCAAAAATACAGAATCATTAATGGTTACAAATGAGGTCTATATATTCAGCAAATACAACTTACTCCTAACTATCCCTTTAAAGACTTGTACAATAAACAAGTTTGACTTTCACTCTATACAATAGAAAATTGCTCGATTTCTAAGCAGTTACATTGAAAAAGTCCTTTGCTCTAAAATCAATAAAAATTTGATTATATGGCCGGGTGCAGTGGCTCATGCCTGTCATCTCAGCACTTTGGGAGGCCGAGGCGGATGGATCACAGGGTCAGAAGATGGAGACCATCCTGGCTAACACAGTGAAACCCCGTCTCTACTAAAAATACAAAAAATTAGCTGGGTCTGGTTGTAAGCGCCTGTAGTCCCAGCTCCTCGGGAGGCTGAGGCAGGAGAATCACTTGAACCCGGGAGGCAGAGGTTGCAGTGAGCCGAGATCACGCCACTGCACTCCAGACTAGGCGACAGAGCGAGACTCCACCTCAAAAACATAAATTAAATAAATAAATAAATAAATAAAATATGATTGTAACACTAGAGAAACAGATTTGATCAAAATAATGGCAATAACAATCTTTTGAGTTTAAACATGCTAGTTTCTCCTTCAAACCACATTAGCAGGCTTCCAAACTATATCGATGTAGTTCTTAAAATGTTTCTTCTAAATCAAACTTTAGGTCTTATAAGGGTAGTTAACTGCTTACTTGAATCTGTTTGCTTTTCATTAAAGCTGGAAATTTTTAAAGGTGATCTTTTCAAAATAAGAACTCTTACCCCGAATAGTTTTTTTTTTACATTTTTAAATAAATCTATATTGTTATATCATAGCCTATAAAATTCATGTCTTAATATTATAAACCACTCTTTTTGTTTAAAGCTCAAACATTCTAATTTCAGTCATTTAACTACATTTATCTCTCTGGAATATAATGGCTGACTCGGAACAGTTAAGTGCTCTGAGGCCTGCAGAAGAAAAACATTCTCTATAAACAAAGTTTAAGTGTATAATACGGGGAAAAAAAAAAAAGAGTATAATATAAGGCCAGGTGTGGTGGCTCACGCCTGTAATCTCAGCACTTGAGAGACAGAGATGGGAGGATCACTTGAGGCCAAGAGTTCAAGACCATCCTGGGCAACATAGTGAGACCTCCATCTCTACCAAAAAAGGTTTTTGTTAAGAGTATAATTCAAACTTCTATATTATTCTATAAAACAGCTCTAAAAGTTAAATTATAGAATCTCTGAAATGTAAGGATCCCTATGTATAATCAACCTAACCCCACACCTTACAGAAGAGAAAACAGATCCAGAAGTGCCTTGTCCAATTGTTACAATGAAACAATACAGGAATCTGGGTTTCTCTGCCCACTCCTCTTTCTACTACTGTCCTCTTAAGGCAGCTGAAAAATTATAATGATAGCAATCATTAACACAAAGCTGCAAAGCAATGAAAACTGTAAATCTGAATAAACTGAAAGACATTAAATTAACCCTAGATTATAAACCTTCTTGATAGTTAGACTGGCTGACCTGAAGAGCAAATCTAATAACTGAATTACCATACTTCAGAATCATTATGACAACTGAGAAAATCAGAAAACTCACGGAGATGATACTATTCATCATAATTAGTTAAAAGAAATCCAGCTGGGCACTGAATAAAATGTAAAAGGTAGCAAATCTCAGGAGGCCAGGACTGCACCAGGAGCTACATTCTAAATACTAACTTTCAAACACCAAAAATATTTGTTTACCCTGGCTTTTAAAAATAATAGTATCAGACAAGTAACTCTAAAAAACAAATATAGCAGAGAATACGCTATTTGTTTTCCAAGACCATGGCTACAGAAGTTAAATGAAGAAGCAAACTGAGATTGCATGCTCAAAAAGTAAAATGTAACATTTTGCCTGGGTCTGATTGGTTGATTGATTTAGAGGACAGAACAGGCATATACAAAAGTTAGTCATGTAATCTTTTGCTCTTTAGGGACAGAAAACAAAATGGATTTTGAAAAATACAGCAAAGCTTTATATCAATGTAAGTGTACTACAGAGATAACAGGGTACTTTGAAGTCTGAGAGCCTGGAACTAAAATTTACTAGCTGTTACTCTTTTTTGGCAGTATGATCCAGTAGAGAGACTGATTTGAATCTTTGCAGCATCCCAGTTACTACTTATATGACCTTAGGCAAAGTTTCTTAGCCTCTCTGAGCCTGAACTTCCTCATCTGTAAAACAGTAATGATAACTATCTACTAAAGTTCGGTTAGGACAAAGACAGTCATCCACTCATGCATTCATTCAGCCATTTAAAGTATAGGAAAGCAATGGAAAGAAGATTAAATTGCTGCCCTAAGGGAACCCATAGTCTTAGAGGAGCAAACAAAATAGTAAATAGAAACAAATTAAGCTGCAAGTGCCCAGAGGTCAGTAGAGAACTAAGGAAGCAAAGAAGTAAGGTACACCTAATTTTGCCTAGAGGTTTAAGGGTTCATGTCCAGTTTCACCCTTGAAAAATATAAGAAAAGTTCACAAGACAGAAAGGGAAAGAAGGGCATTCCAAGCAAAGAGAAAGGCACCCCAACCCAATACAATTCTGCATGGTAACTAGTGCATAATATCTCCTTATTAAGAAGGGCTTCTTTTTTTTTTTTTTTTAATGAAAAACCCCAGGGTACAGTGGCTTAGGTCTGTAATCCTAGGAGGATCGCTTGAGCCCAAGAAATCAAGACCAGCCTGGGCAAAAAAAAGTGAGATCCCATCTCTATAAAAAGTAAAATTATTAGCCAGACATGACGGTGCATGCCTGTAGTCCCAGCTATCAGAGGCTGAGGTGGGAGGATTGATTGAGCCCGGGAGGTGGAGGCTGCAGTGAGCCATGATCGAGCCACTGCACTCCAGCCTGGGTAACAGAGTGAGATGCTGTCTCAAAAAAAAAAAAAATACAAATACAAATACTTGTACAAAAAAAAAAACAAGACTGGAAGAAAACATAAATTAACTGGTTTTTCTCTTTGAACATAAAAGAAAACATAAAAAATTAACTGGGTTTTCTCTTTTTGATGTCTACAATAACCTAAATCAAATGCTGTGTTTTAATGGTTGCTGAATTTGAAAGAGAAGTGAAAAACCGGGCAGGGGAAAAAAAAGAAAAAAAAGACAGCAGGCAGGCCTTTCCCTAGTTGCTCTTACAAAATGTTAAAACTTCCTATCACTCACCTTTGAAAATGCTAATCATTATGCATAGCATTTCTTTTTCTTTTTATTAGTTTTAAGATTTCCTCAAGAAAGAGACCACCAGAAGCGACCCTCCTAGGGTCAAGTATTCTCTGGCTTACACTGCCTCAAGAAAGCACTGAAAAGCACTATAACCTGAGGGCAGATGAAATTAAGACAAGGACAGGGGACCCACCCACATTCTAGTAGGTGCTCAGTAGAGAAAAGTCCAACAAAAGAACCCAGTACCAACTAGCAGATAAAATAAACCAAATATATATATCTATATATATCATGCTTCTAAAAAAAGTTAAGAAAACCACAAATAATTGAGACCCAGCTAACTATAAGACACAATGGCGGATACTAAGGGGCATGAGAAAACATCTTTTTTTTTTTTTTTTTTTTTTTGAGATGGAGTCTCACTCTGTCACCCAGGCTGGAGGGCAGTGGGCGAGATCTGGGCTCACTGCAACCTCCGCCCTCCAAATTCAATGGATTCTCCTGCCTCAGCCTCTGGAGTAGCTGGGATTACAGGCGCCTGCCACCGCGCCTAATTTTTTGTATTTTTAGTAGAGACAGGGTTTCACCATCTTGGCCAGGCTGGTCTTGAACTCCTGACCTCATGATCCACCCACCTAGGCCTCCCAAAGTGCTGGGATTACAGGCGTGAGCAACCGCGCCCGGACGAGAAAACATTTTAAACAGGGTAACTTAAAATACGAGAAATTAGGCCAGGTGTGGTGGCTCACACCTGTAATCCCAACATTTTGGGAGGCGTAGGTGGGCTGATCACTTGAGGTCAGGAATTCAAGACCAGCCTGACCAACATGGTGAAACCCCACGTCTACTAAAAATACAAAAAATTACGTGGGCATGGTGGTGCATGCCTGTAATCCCAGCTACTCTGGAAGCTAGGGCAGGAGAATGGCTTGAGCCCGGGAAGTGGAGGTTGCAGTGAGTGCCACTTCACTCCAGCCTGGGTCACAGAGCAAAACTCTGTCTCAAATAAATAAGTAAATAAATCTCAATAATATATAGAAAATAAATTCAGGATACAATCAGAAGGGTTGAGAATCCCTGCAATAAGACATATGAAAGACTCACAATAAAATTCCCATTTGTTTAAAAAAAAAAGTGAATACTACACCAGTGTTACACTGGCATTCATAAAAAATGCATATTACACTAAATATCTTTTGACATACATTCATGTTTGTGTTAACACAGAAACAGCTCACTCATTCTGAGTTCAATTCTGACACTAACATTTTAAATATTCTTTTTTTATAGTACTGTTTTATATGCCCCTTACTTTATAAAAATATTAAGGGCCAGGAATGGTGGCTCACGCCTGTAATCCCAACACTTTAGGAGGTTGAGGTGGGCGGATCACTGGAGGTCAGGAGTTCAAGACTAGCCTTGGCCAACACGGTGAAACTCCACCTCTACTGAAAATACAAAAATTACCCAGGTCTGGTGGCGCACGCCTATAATCCCAGCTACTTGGGAGGCTGAGGAAGGAGAATCACTTGTACCTGGGAGGCGGAGGTTGCAGTGAGCCAAGATCGCACCACTGCACTCCAGCCTGGGCGACAGAGCAAGACTCTCATCTTAAAAAAAAAAAAAAAAAAAAAAAAAATTAAAAATTAAGAAAATTAGGGGATGATATCTCATCGACTAAGAAAATATAACATCTGGGGTCATAGTTCTCCAGATTTCCATGCTGGCTATTCGGTCTCTCTATCCTAATTTTAAAATGTAGCGAACAATTCATTTGCACAGCATTTTACAATTAACAAAATGCATTCTTTCACATTTAACTCACTTGTTCCCCACAATAAATGGGAAATTTTCATTTTATAATTGAGGAAAGTCAATCTCTGAGAGCTTAAGTAATTTCCCTAGGGTCACTCAACAAGTAAAGGCTATATTCCATACTAAATATTAGGGTCTTTTCTACTACTCACAAAATCCCATGTAAGAAATGTCAAGCAGGCCAGGTGCGGTGGCTCACGCCTGTAATCTCAGCACTTTGGGAGGCCGAGGCAGGCAGATCACGAGGTCAGGAGATCGAGACCATCCTGGCTAACACGGAGAAACCCCGTCTCTGCTAAAAATACAAAAAATTAGCCGGGCGTAGCGGGCGCCTGTAGTCCCAGCTACTCAGGAGGCTGAGGCAGGAGAATGGCGTGAACCCGGGAGGCGGAGCTTGCAGTGAGCCGAGATTGCGCCACTGCCTTCCAGCCTGGGCGACAGCGCAAGACTCCATCTCAAAAAAAAAAAAAAAAAAAAAAAAGAAATGTCAAGCAAGGGCATCTCTAAATTATGACACAAACACTAAACTACCTTTTTAGAATACCATTTTGCTGCCTACCAAAAGGAAAGTGTTTATTAATCAATCAGTAATCAACATCAGTAGTAAAACAAAAACTAAAACACAGGAACTAAAACTAATATTCAAATGTGACAAAGATGCTCAGGACAAAATTTCATTAAGGCAAGTTCACTGAATCCAAAGTATTAGTCCCTAACACCAGCTCTCTTCACTTTCACAGTATCTCATTTGTACTGAGATACCAGTTATCCTAAGATTAATGATAAATCTCCAAAAGGATTTTAAATCATTGAAAGTACGTTCCTTAGAGCCCATCTGTGGAAAAAAAAATGCCAAGGATCAATCTAGACAAATCGCTAAAGCCAATATATTTCAGAGAGCGCGTGGTGGCTCAAGCAAGTCAGTAGTCAGGAGTAGTCAGGAATACCGATTTCCAGATATTGACCTCTCTCTGTCATAATACCTATCAGTTAGCATTATATGCACAATACACTGCACTGGGGTTGAGCAGAGCATGCTTTTTGATATCCCATGATGCATCCTGTTCTTCCTAACTATGGCTATGTCCACATGGCAGTTAATAAATCAAACATGCTTAAACTGCTTCCACACTTAGAGATGCAATAACTATGCTACCAGCACTCAAAGATCATTCTGCTATTCTAATTGACAATTTAAGCTATTATTAGTAATTGGAGAACAACAGCTGGTTAAGAAAAGAATACAGGTATGTCTGGAATTTAAATACAGTGTTTTAAAGTACTTGGTGAGGATCAAATGAGATAATGTGAAAACACTTTTAAACTTGAATGTGTTATATGCAGATGCAACTTCTTATAACAACATATAATCATAGATGTATGTATATTTTTTAAGGACAATAACAAACAATCTTTATAAAAGTTTTTCATAAAAAACATAAAATTACTTCTAGTATTTTGCATATAAAATGAGGGTAATACAATCTATGTCATTCCAAATGTAAGCGCTAACTGGTGCTTTCAGTTTTAGAGATGAAAATGCGAAATAAATGTAAAACTATATACCACACCTAAACACATTTATAACTTTGGTTCAGTCTTTTTTTTTTTTTTTGAGACAGAGTCTCAGTCACCCAGGCTGAAGTGCAGTGGTGCGATTCCAGCTCACTGCAACCTCTGCTTCCAGGGCTCAAGCAATTCTCATGCCTCAGCCTCCTGAGTAGCTGGAATTACAGGCATGAGCTACCACACCCGGCTAATGTTTGTATTTTTAGTAGAAAAGGGCTTTTGCCATGTTGGCCAGGCTGGTCTTGAACTCCTGACCTCAAGTGATCCGCCTGCCTCAGTCTCTCAAAGTGCTGGGATTACAGGCATGAGCCACCACACCAGGCCCTGGTTCAGTCTTATGATACGAGACTCCTAAAAATGATTTAAAAATCTTAAAATGTGGTTTTTAAAAAGTTTCCAAATCACCATTTCAATATATAAAACTTATAGATTAACAAGAACTGTTCATTTAAACACACACAACCTTGATTACTCTGTTGTCCCCAGTAAAGCTCCAAGGAGGAAGCAATAAATTAGCCAACAACTCAATAGGGTCACCACAAATGAAAGGACATCTGTATTATTTAAATTATCTACCTTAAGATGAATTGCAAGAAGCAAATCTTATTCTATTATGTGGTCAGTAACAGCCAACTAGGAAGCAGAAAATAAAGTGCCCAGATGAAAATTCAGAAACAATCACAACTTCAAAATTTTCCCTCTATCATTACTTAAAATTCTGGAAAATTTAGAGTGTTATATTTTAAATGCCATATTCAAAAATCTTACAGTTCAACATAAACTGACCAAAATGCTTCATCATGTACAGATTCTTTTTTAAATGACATTTCAGATCAGGATACGTCAATACTTAACTGCAAGCAGCTTTAATAAAAAAGCACCTTCCCTTGTGTTCAAAATTACAAGTAAAACACTAAACACTAAATCAGATGACCGTTTCAGAAAACAGAAGGCAAGGATTTCTAGAATATGTAATTTAGTATAAACACTGAATCAGATGATTGTTTCAGAAAACAGAAGGTAAGGATTTCATTACTACTACTAACAGTAGTAATGAAATGTTGAAGAAATTCAATTTATCATTACCTTAATATTATTCTGATAAATTAAGCATTAATGACAATCAGTTCAAATGAAAGTATACATATGAACAAAAAGGCAGGATTTTTGTCTCATATATGCAGTATACGTGGCCATGCAACCCCTATTTACTATGTTGATATCCTAGTTAACACTTCATTGTACATTTGTACTCTTTCCTTTTCATACCCCAATACACCTTAAGTTTGTAATGCTGCTATATAATGTAATATTCCAGGTAAATCAAGATGATACTATTAATACTTTGCCCTAAATTTCAATCCAAAACATGCAGCTAAATCAAAGACCACACTTTATAAATCTATCATTCCAATAACAATTTAAAAAATACCTACCCCAGGCCGGGCGCGGTGGCTCATGCCTGTAATCCCAGCACTTTGGGAGGCTGAGGTTTACGAATCACGAGGTCAAGAAATCGAGACCATCCTGGCCAACATGGCGAAACCCCGTCTCTACTAAAAAATACAAAAATTAGCTGGGCGTGGTGGCGCGTGCCTGTAGTCCCAGCTACTTGGGAGGCTGAAGCAGGAGAATCGCTTGAACCTGGGAGGCGGAGGTTGCAGTGAGCCGAGATCCCGCCACTGCACTCCAGCCTGGCAATAGAGCGAGACTCCCTCTCAAAAAAAAGAAAAAAACAAAAACACCTACCCCAAGAAAAAGTATCCCATCTCTTCTACAATGCAGCCACTCAAAATCAGGTCATATGTGAAATAATTTTAATCAAAAATATTACTGACAAACTTAGCAATCAAACCAACACTGCACATTCACTTCTCAGCCACTACACTTCTGTTCAAATTATCACTCAACCCTGCCCATCTTCTCTTACAAAGAAGTCCATAGGTAGAGAACAGACATGTAAAAGAAAACCATGGTATCTAAACTATAATGTTCAAACAACAGAACAAACTCTGTGTACGTAAAAAAAATAGAAAATATAAAAACAGAAAAGAATATTTAAAAGATACGTTAAAATTGAGTATATGTAAGAATTAACAATTTTATTTAATTCCTTAAAGGTTAAGCCTCACTAGTAATGAAAAAAAAAGAGCTACTTAAGTCAACCAGGAGCTATTGCCATCTATTAAATATTAAAGAAACTGAATGATTTAAAGCTATTAAAAAACTCACTCTAAATACCTAGATGATGACATTATAAATTAGTACAATCTTCTGGAGAGCAAACAATATATGACAAGAGCTATAAAACTCATGAGACCCTTTGACCTGGTAACTCCACTTTAGGGAATAAAGTCCAGGAAAATAACTGGGGGCAGAAGGGATAGGGGAGAAAGTAAAAAGCAGAAAAAGACCACCTAACTATGCAAAGTTATTAGTAAAAATCTGGAAGTAGCTCAAATGCTCAACTGGAAGCTTGGTTCAAATCATATCGTACCTTAAATACAACTGAATTTTTTCTTACCATTAAAATAATGATGACTATTCAAATACACAAGTACATTTTTAAATGTTAAGAAAAATATGAAGCATAAAATGGACACTGATCACAATTATGTAAAAATGTCTTTACAATATGAGGAAAAGTCTAGTAAACTGGGTTGTTGGGGTTTTTTTGGTGAGGAGACTATTTTTTAATTACTTTGATTTTCATTTCCTTTTTATCACTGTCAAGTTAGTTTCAAAAAAGCTTTTTCCTTTTAATCTCCTTTGCCACTTGCTTAAAATAACACATATAGGCTGTGAGAAGGACAAATGTAAAGGAAAACATTTTCAATACACCTCAGTATTAAAACTATATATAAAAACCTGTATCAGTCATTAAGTGTTAAAACATATTAGTAGGCACTGTTGTTTTTGCCTCTTTTAGGGGGAGGGAAAGACTTAAGTCCAACAGAAAGACTGACTACAAATTAACCTGGCAGTACATGAAGTTTTTCAAAACTAATTTTTCTCCATCTGAGAAATTGTTACTATTAATAATACAGATGGTCGAGTTTACCCTTATCACAATTATACCATTTTCTGTGATTTGCAAAATATAAGAAAACTATACAGTCGGTAGACTTGATAATAATAATGTGGCCTCACTGTTGTAAGATAACACAAACAAAAATAACAAAATGAACATTGAAGCAATTTAAATATAGTCTTATTGCAAGCAAATTTTAAATCATTTATATTTAGAGTCTATCATACACCGCCAACTTTCTTTAACTTTGTCCGATTTTCCTCCACTTGGATCTTACTTGAAGGAAAGATAGCTGAATTTAGATTTTAGTAACATCATTCCTTTCTCCTTTCACTACCCTCCAATGCACTGTGGCAGCAGCTAACACAAGGGAACCTCCCCCGCAAAATAAAAAGGATCACCTGTTTTTGTGTGTCAATGCTGAACACAAGGTACATTTATACTATGAATTATATTTGCAGGAGAAACAACATAGACCAATGCCTTTGGTCCTTCACTAAAGTATATTCCATTTTTAAATATGTCCATTGTTGTCTCCTTGTAAACCCAAAATCGTGTTTCACCAATTCTCAAAAAGTGATAACTCAGTTTCTATTTAGTGAAAACGGGTCTATGCAAATGCGACTTAACTGATAATTGAATGAGCTTATAAAATCGGAGATACGTAACGATTATGCTTTTACTCAGTAGACCATTACCTAACCGGCAAAATTTGAAATTGGCTTGACGCTCCTTATTATTTTTAATTATGTCGTTTTTCCTAATCCCTGGTCCGTCAATTCCCCTCCAGAGCCCCTTCCTCCCACGCCTCCCCCCTGCCCCCCCGCCCCCCCCAAAAAAGACCAAGCCTGGCCTTAGTTCCCGTATTTCAGGCCAGGACCAACCAGAAACCAGTTTTCTTCCACTAATCCGGAACTCCGGGCTGTTACCAACGCTGTCATTGGCCAGCGTCAGACCTTAGTACGTGCCCCAAGATAACCCCTTGGTTTCTCTCCCTTTTCCGCCTACAATGGGCCTTCCCCAATGTTTGTAACATATTCATAATCCACAACACGGCACCTCTGATAATCAACTCACATTCTTCAAAGTTTTCGGGTGGAAACAAGCAGGGCCAAGGGGAGGGCAAGGTACCCTTTTTCCGACTAGCAGGGATGGGGGAAGGGGCAGTCGTTCTTTGGCTCTGCACCGAGCTCTAGAACCTCGTCGGCTGAGAGGTGGGGGGCGGGTTGGGGGTACAAGGTGGGGAGGGAGTGGTGAAAGAGTTAGGTTAAGTTGAAATGAAAACTTTACTCACCAGATCCTCGAAGCTTCTTCGGTGCTCTTTCCCCTCCCAATCTAAGCGGCGCGGAATCAGCTGGGGGCCGGACGAAAAGAAAGGGGGAAGCGGAGGCAAATGATGAAGGAAAAGCCTCCGCTCCCCATCAACTGGACCCAACCTGTGTCCCAGTCCTCAACACTTTACCGTCTTTATTTCTCTCGGCCTGATAGCTATTGGCTCAGAGCTAGACAAGTATATGGGGGGGGGGGGGAAGGGGGGTCGAGAAGGAAATCCTGAAAAACTGCCTCCCACAAGCATAAAGCGGGGACGAGTTAAGACCCCAGCGTTGTCTGCCCCTTTTGAGGGAAGAAGCCAATTCACCCCGGTGACAACAGCTACGGGTACCCAGATCGAAGCCTCTATCCCAGCCCGTCTTCCGCCCCTGACTTGCCCTCCCCTTCCTCCAGTCTCACCTCAACCCTCCCCACCCTTCCCGAAGGGGCTCCGTACCTGATGCTCCTCGAGCTCCTGCACTAGCACCTGAGCAAAAGGGAAACACAGATATGAGGAGCAGCTCGGGCCATCAACCCATTCCTCCCTCCACACTTAAAGCCCAGCCGCTGACCGTTTGACTAGTCAAGGCCGGCCTTTCCCTCACCCTCAACGGAACTGCTCGTCCCGCTGCCTCGATTTCCCCACTGGGACCATTCACCACGACTCCCAGATCTCTTTCTTCCCCTTACCTGAGCGGATTTGTTGCAGGGTCCAGACTGCAAGAACCTAGCGATCAGGTAATACAGCTCTGGGGAAGAGGGGGGAAAAGAGGTTCAGAGGGAGGTAGAGAAGAGAAATAGAAGCTTTTTCAAAAGAAACTGACAGCCTTCGCGCTAAGCCCCCATTCCCTTAGCACCCCCCCACCCCCCGACACAGCTACCCACCGGCTTCGATCTGGGTAGGTGCTGCCGCCATCCTTTTCCCGAGGGGGTTTGGGGGCTTCGCTCCGGAGGGGCTGGCGGGGGCGGGTGGGGGCGCTGCCTCTATTGTGGTGAAGCCCCCATGCCCGGGAGTCCCGCCGCTTCCGCCGCACTCCTCGTCCTAGTTTCGCTCTCTCTCGAATTCATCGCATCACGTTTCGACCCATAGATATTCTAGCCCAAGAGCTGAGGAGGCGGAGGAGGAAGGAGAGGAGAGGGAGAGGGAGAGAGAGAGTGAGTGAGTGAGAGAGAGAGAGAGAAGAGAGAGAGAGAGAGAGGAAAAAGAGAGAGAGAGAGAGAGAGAGAGAGAGAGAGAGAGAGAGAGAGACGCGGGGGGTGGGGGGGCGGAGAGAGAGAGAGAGAGAGAGATAGACGGAGCGAGAAGAGGGAGGAGCCGAAGTGGCGAAGAGGTGGGCGGGGGCAAAGGGGGTGGAGAGAGGGGAGGGTAAAAATGGTGATAGGGTTTTGCAGCGCTCATAGTTCCCCGCTAGAGGCACTAATACAGCAGCTGAGCCTAGACTCTCCCGGAGCCCGATGGTTGCTTAGCTACAGCTCTGGGAAGGAGGGGGAGGTGCTAACTGACGGCCGACGCTCTGGCAGCCGCCTTGGAACTCTGTGGTGGCATTCGCGTCTGCGAGCTCCGGAGTGACTTTCCCTTCCTGTGAAGGCAATCCGGCCCTTTCCGGTGGAGGACCCTTCCCCCTGGGTTGATCTTGAGGAACTTAAGAGACGGTGTTTTGACTCGACTCCTTTCCCCTTTTTCCTCCCGGTACCAAAGCGGTTTTGTTTGCTGTTTATACTCTACCCCGTGGAAAGGCGGCTAGCTGGCTAAAGGGTTTTATGCCTGGGGGAGGATGAGTCGCTATTTGGTCGTGACTTGTTTCTGTTTAAAATTATTATTATTTACCAAATGAAAATGTTGTACTTACCAGTCCAAAGTGCGGGGCTTATATTGTTAGAAGACCACTTAAAATGCTCCTGGATTCTGACAAATATTGCATGAGAAATTTGCAATCAGCCGTGAAGCATGTTTCCCCTTCTGAAAGTTTAACACGTGCCGTATCTACGGCTGGGATCTAACACATCCCATTCCTACAGGGTAATTTCCTATTGTGTTTTCAAATACTACTAAAGTACTTTAACCAAGAGTTTTCAATAATCTTTATGTATTATTGCCTATCTCTATGCAAGGTATCAATAGTTTTCTACAGGTTCGGGACTACACTGTTTAATATATAACCCCAACCCTTGGTACCGCACTGACCTTCAGTATTTGGTTGCTGAAATCTTCAATGATGAAAGGGGTTGGTATGATAATTGACACAGATTAGTAAACCG
This sequence comes from Homo sapiens, assembly GCF_000001405.40. NCBI lineage: Eukaryota > Metazoa > Chordata > Mammalia > Primates > Hominidae > Homo > Homo sapiens. The sequence goes on from NC_000023.11 coordinate 80,810,815, forward strand.
GGTCCTTTTCTTCCCTACTTTCCCGTAACATCCTGTCCCCACCCCACTCCCTCACCTAAACCTGATGAGACCAGAAATGCATTTTAAGTTGCATGTATTATTTACATTGAAATATTACAATTTGAAGGTTCATCTAAATTTAAGGCTATATTCTTGGGAATTGGGTTTCCTCACTCAGCTCTGCCACTGACCACAGTGGGCCTTGAATTTCTAAGTTGACATAAACTTAGCCTAGGTTGATTAGCTCTCACTTGTAATTTTTTTTTTTCCTCAGAAAGCAATAACCACAGGAGGTAATTGTGAAGTGATAGGCTTATCTTTGGTTGTTATTGCCATGGAACTTGACAAAACAAATATGAATAATTGATACAACAAAATGATATAAAAAGATACATGAGACCTAGACAACTCATTGCAAGTAGTTTAGCAAAATACCAGACTGAATAATTTTATAGTTGAAGTATAATGTACAGGTTGAGTATTCTTTATCCAAAGTGCTTGGGACCAGAAATGTTTTGGATTTTGGACTTTTTCAGATTTTGGAATATTTGCATATACATAATGAGATATTTCAGCTATAGGACCCAAGTCTAAATTTGAATTTCATTTGTTCCATTTATACCTTATACACATAGACTGAAGATAATTTTATATAATATTTTCAATAACTTTGTGCACGAAACAAAGTCTTGACTGCCTTTTGACTGTGATCCTCCACTTGAGGTCAGATGTGGAATTTTCCATTTGTGGCATCATGTTGACACTCAAAAATTTTGGATTTTGGAGCATTTTGAATTTTGGATTTTTAGATTAGGGATGTTTGACCTGTATGTAACAGTTAACACTTAACAAGCCATTATCATGTCCTCAGCACTTTTACGTGCTTACCTCATTTAATCTTTACAATGACCCTAGGAGATAGGTTCAATTGTTATTCTCATTTTACAAATGATAAAAATGACTATGAATTTGGTCCACTCACAGCCTGTGAACCTCATTCCTCACCTGTAAAATGTGAATAATAAATAGTATTTGCCATGTCTACTTCAAGGAATTGTTATAAAATTCGTGTGAAAATGTATTTGTGTACTCTTTCAAAATTTATGTGGCAGTTATTCCATGATCACCTCTGTATCAGTCAGTTCAATTATTAATGATAACAGGAAATTGGAATAATGAGGGCTTAGCTAGCAAGAAGTAAAGAGAACTCTAAATACTACAGATGTAGCAGGTATATAATAGTAGATATGATAGCCACTACCCCTGGAACTGAGATAAAGCATTCTCTTCCCTTAGCTGAGATCCAGACCTTCTTAGAGAGAACACAGCCAGTGGAGAGTCACTCTATGGCAGGAAATATTCTGTATTGCCTTACAGGCAGAACTTGCTGAAACTCCAACCTCTGGAAATTACTGGAACCCTGCATTCTAGAACTTGCTGGAAACCCACCCTCTGGAATTGGCCTGCTAGAGTGCCTGAGAAGGATGTTCATAGGGAAATGTTTCAGCAGAGGAACTCTACTACAAAAACCACAAGAGGGAGGGTGCCAGGGGAAGTGGCCTGGTGCTATTGAAACTGCAACACAGAAGCCAGCCACTGGAGAGAGCTGCACAAGCTGCAGGAACACCCTACCCAGTAAGCCGGCCAGAAGGAGGGAGCAAAACCTTTTCTCTCTGCAACATCTTTCCAGTTTCCTCTACTGGAAAAGCTTCATTGCCAGCTGACAAAAGGAAAAATACTTAAATGGATCAGATCCATTTTCACAGAGCAGTCAATAATGGTGAATTTGGAGATGATAAGCAACAAATTGATGAACTGGCACAACTTCCCTGCTACTTTCTTGATTGTAATGCCTAGATAGGGAATAGGAAAGTTATTGAAATGTATGTGTTCCCATGAAATGTGTTTATTTGTTGTTCAAGATCAATACTAATAAATGGGGACTAATGTTCTGAAGTATTTTGGAACAATTAGAATCACCACTCTTAACCCTGTGGCCAAAGTCTTAAATGGACAGGGAGGAAAATGTTTATAAACTGAAGCAAAAATTGATCTACATAGAAAATAAATCTGGAGTATTTACTTGGTAGGTATACTAGTTTCCTAGGGCTGCCATAACAAGTTATTACAAACTGGGTGGCTTAAAACAACAGAAATTTGTTCTCTCACAGTTCTAAAGGCCAGAAATCCAAAATCAAGGTGTTTGCCAAAGCCATGCTCTAGGGGAGAATCCTTTGCTTCTTCCAGCTTCTGGTGGCTCCTGGCATTACTTGGTTTGTGAGAGCATAATTCTAATGTCCGCTTCTACCTTCATATGGCCTTCTTTCATATGACATGTCAAATCTTCCTCTCCTTTTTCTTATAAGGACACCAGTCATTGGATTTCAGGCTCACCCTTAAGCCGGGATGATCTCATCTCCAGAACCCTAACTTAATTACATCCACAAAGACCCTATTTCTAAGTAAGATCATATTCACGAGTACTGGGGTTAGGACATGGACATCTTTTTGGAGGACACAATTCAATCCACCAACACATTTTTATTTTACTTTGGTCTTTAAAAAGAATAAGCCGAGTTCAGTGGCTCATGCATGTAATCCCAGCACTTTGGGAGGCCAAGGCGAGCAGATCACTTGAGGCCAGGAGTTCACGACCAGCCTGGTCAACATAGCAAAACCCTATCTCTACTAAAAATACCAAAATTAGGGCCGTGCGCGGTGACTCACGCCTATAATCCCAGCACTTTGGGAGGCTGAGACGGGCGGATCACGAGGTCAGGAGACCGAGAACATCCTGGCTAACACGGTGAAACCCCGTCTCTACTAAAAATAAAAAAAAATTAGCCCGGCGTGGTGGCGGGCGCCTGTAGTCCCAGCTACTCAGGAGGCTGAGGCAGGAGAATGGCATGAACCCGGGAGGCGGAGCTTGCAGTGAGCCGAGATCGCGCCACTGCACTCCAGCCTGGGCGACAGAGCAAGACTCCATCTCAGAAAAAAAAAAAAAAAAAAGCCGGATATGGTAGTGCACTCCTGTAATCCCAGCTACTAGTGAGGCTGAGGCATGCCGGGCGCGCTGGCTCACGCCTGTAATCCCAGCACTTTGGGAGGCCGAGGCGGGCAGATCACAAGGTCAGGAGATCGAGACCATCCTGGCTAACACGATGAAACCCCATCTCGACTAAAAATACAAAAGATTAGCCAGGCGTGGTGGCGGGTGCCTGTAGTCCCAGCTACTAGGGAGGCTGAGGCAGGAGAATGGCGTGAACCCGGGAGGCGGAGCTTGCAGTGAGACGAGATGGCACCACTGCACTCCAGCCTGGGCAAGAGTGCGAGACTCCGTCTCAAAAAAAAAAAAAAAAGAAAGAAAGAAAAAAAGAGAATGAAGAATTGCTTCAACCCAAGAAGTGGAGGTTGCAGTGAGCCAAGATCGCACCCCTACACTCCAGCCTGGGCAACAGAGTGAGACTCTGTCTCAAATTAAAAAAAGAAAAAAATCACATTGCAATGGAATATAAATGTTAAAAACTTAATGGTTCTCCCTAGGAAGGCAGAAGAAAAGAAAAATGGTAGGAAATACTGAGACGGAAGAGCAGAAGTGTTAATAAGATTAATATAACAAACTAAGTAAATAGTTGCTTCCTTTTATTATTTCAGCTTCTTTAAAAAATTGTATAGAGTAATAATTAAAATAATGTATTCTTATGTTTAATATATTACATACATCATAATATATTAACATATTTTAACATATTGCATGGATGTAATATGAATAATAATAATGGGAAAAAAGAGACACGATAGAGCTATAAAAGCGTAGCATTTGTATACCTCAAAAGAGATGATATAAACATGAAGTATAAGGCTGAGCATGGTGCCTCATACCTGTAATCCCAGTGCTTTGGGAGGCCAAGGTGGGAGGATCGCTTGAGGCTATAAGTTTGAGACCCGCCTAAGCAGCATAGTGAGAACCCTGTCTCTGCAAAGAAAAACAAAACGGTGAGGTGTGGTGGCATACGCCAGTAGGTCCAGCTACTCAGGAGGCCGAGGTGGGAAGATCACTTGTGCCCAGGACTTTGAGGTTGCAGTGAGCTGTGATTGCACCACTGCACTCCACCTCTGGGAAAAAGAGCAAGACCTTGTCTCTAAAAAAAATTAAATTAAATTTTAAAAATTGAAGTATATTCTGATAAGCTAAGAAGTATATGGCAAACCATAGAGCAACCACTAAGAAAATTTTTAAAATGTGAAAAAAATCATCAAAAATTTTACTAGGATATATTTACTTAGTACAAAAGAAAGCAGGAAAGGAGGAATAGAACAAAAAAGACATGAGATATCAAAACCAAATTAATATAGATATAATTCCACCTACATCAATACTAACATTACATGTAAATGGATATATGCCACTTCTGTCATGACAGCATGAGGAACTTTGTGAACCAGCTCACAGTGAAACTGGTGAAAATTATATAAACAACCATCTAAAGTCTCTGGAAATGTTTCTGATGACATAAAACAAATGAAAAATCATTTATTCAAGAAAAAGCTACTAAAATTTTAAGGACAGTGAAAGTTTGTGGTAAATGAACCAAAACCCACTCTTCCAACCCTGCCTCCAAGCCCAGTGAAGAGGTGAGCTCTACTCTAGACTGAAACATCCAAAAATACAAGACTCCTTATTCCTCCTAGATCTCAGTTAGAGGGCTATCTTCCTAGGAGGAGCAGGACATAACCATTTCTCATGCTTCCCCCAATTACCTGTTGCTGAGGCTAAGTTCTGGTTTAGTGTGGCCAAGAGGTGGTGGCTCCTTTTTTCCACCCAGCCCCTAACCATAGGACAAAGCTAAATCTTGGGCATTGGTGCTACTGAGCATACTGGGGCATCGATCTCCCTGACCCTGGATTGAGTGAGGAGCAGTAGATGCATTCTAAGAGAGGCAAGCTAAAAAGATTAAGGGCTATTGTCTCCTTCCTCCACCAAGCACTCATGTTCTCAAGCAGAGATATCAGAGAGAATTATGCCATTGTTCCAGTCTCCAGGACCAGAATTGTGGCTCAGAGATTCTGCCCTAAGGGAAAGGTAGGTCTTAGAAGAGAGAGCTCTGAATCTCTCCCTAAAATAACTGACTTTATTTGCAACTGAGTGTGGAAAAATTCAAGCCTAAGGGTGCTCTCAAGAACAAAGAAGGTTATGGTAAAAGAAAATTGGGGGAAATTGGTAAATTTATTAAAATTATAGGCTAAACTGTAGGCCAACCAGTTTGCTGGAGAGAAAACAGAGAGAAAGGGCAGCAAAAAAGTCCTCCAAGAGTCAGAGCAAGTCTTAAACACTAACCTAAGAAAATATTCCTACTAAGGTGCCCAAATTTGATTGGATCAGTCTGTGAAGCAATTTGTGCCCCAGGGTGTTGTCGAAAACAAAAGAGCAATCAGCCGGTAATTAGCGTGATTTAAGAGCTGGCTGTGGTCAGGGAAAGAGGCAGTTAAAGGGAGCCCTGCCAAAATCAGTGTTATCCCAGGGTGATTATGTGCCTACCCAAGGCTGTACCCCCTGAGTAACAACATCAGCAGTTTCACACAATGAAGTTAACAAGCACACAAAAATAATAAGACCTGGAGTGGGAAGAACAAGTACCCAGGGTTGGTACAATATATTATCTAAAATAACCTAGTTTCTAACAAAAAATTATGAGGCATGCAAATAAACAGGAAAGTATAAACTATACACTATACACCAATACCAAAAGAGCAGGCAACAGAAACTGCCTATGAAAATTACCAGATGTCAGATTTAGTAGACAAAGTCTTCAAAGTAACCATGATAAATATATTTGAAGGACTAAAGGAAACTATTATTAAAGAAATGAAAGAAGGTACGATGTCAATGTCAAATCAAACAGAATATAAATAAAAAGGAAATATTTTTAAAAATGAAATAGAGATTCTGGTGTTCAAAAGAACAATAATTGAAATGAAAAACTCACTAGAGGGAAAAAGAGTCCATTCGAACTGGGAGAATAAAGAATTAACACACTTGATAACAGATTAATAGAGCATATTAACTCTAAAGAGCAGAGAAAACAAGAATGAAGAAAAATGAAGATGGCCTCAGAGAATTATGGGATATTATATGCACCAACATATGTGTAAGGGGACTATTAGAAGGAAAGAATGAGAAGGAAGCAGAAAAAAAAAAGAAATAATGGCTAAAAACTTCCCAATTTATTGAAAAACATTAATCAACACATGCAGAAAGCTCAATGAACTGCAAGTAAGATAAGTGCAGAGATCCGCAAGCTGACATATTATAATAAAAATGCTAGAAGACAAAGAGAAAATCTTGAAAGCAGCAAGAGAAAAATGACTCATCACTTACAAACTTACAAAGGAAGATTAAAAGCTGACTTCTCACCAGAAACAATGGAGGCCAGAAGGCAGTGTGATAACATACTCAATGTGCCCAATGAAACCATTCATTAAACAAAAGTCATATATTCAGCAAAGCTAACTTTAAAATTGAAGGTAAAATAAACTTTTCCAGATAAAGTGAGAAAAATTTGTTTCTAGCAGACCTACACTACAAGAAATACCAAAGAGAGTTATTTAAGCTGAAAGCAACTGAATCCAGAAAGTAATTCAAATCCACACGAGAAACAAAAAGCAATGGTAAAGATAGTTATGTAATTATAAAAAGCAATATAAATGCATATTTATTCTCCTTTCTTAAATTATTTAGAAAACAATTTTATGAAACAATGTGTATGTAATGCATAGTTCACCCTATAACGTATAGAAATATTATGTATCTGCCAATAACAGCAAAAAGAAGATGGATTGGAACAAAGCCGTATTGGGGTATGGAAGTAATTCCAGATGGCACCTTAAATCCACAGGAACAGATGCAGAGAACAAGAAATGATAAATAGGATTAATATAACAAGGCTGGGTGTGGTGGCTCACACCTGTAATCCCAGCACTTTGGGAGGCCAAAGTGGGCAGCTCATCTGAGGTCAAGAGTTCGACAACAGCCTGGCCAACATGGTGAAACCCTGCCTCTACTAAAAATAAAAATAAAAAAATTAGCCAGGCATGGTGGCACACACCTGTAGTCCCAGCTACTCGGGAGGCTGAGGCAGAAGAATGGGTTGAAGCCAGGAGGCGGAGGTTGCAGTGAGCCAAGATCACATTGTGCCACTGCACTCCAGCCTGGGTGACACAGTGAGACTCTGTCTTAAAAAAAAAAAAAAAAAAAGAAAATTAATAATTTAACAAAAGCTATAAATATATACTAGCTTTTCTTACCTTCTTTAAAAGTATACATATATATAAATAATTATAACAATGTATTGTTTGGTTTGTAACATTTATAGATGTAACCTGTATAACAATAACAAAACAAAAAGGAAGGAAGTAAAGTAAAGCAATACAGAAATAACATTTTTGTCTCCCAACAGAATTAAATTAGTATAAATTGGAAGCTGATTCTGATGTATAAGGTAAATTCTAGATCAATAGCTAAGGAGATAACAAAAATGTATTGTAAAAAATCATTAAAGAAATTAAAATTCTGCATTAGAAAAGATTCACTTAATCCGAAAGAAGGTGGTATAGAAGGAATAGAGAAACAAACAGAGCACCACGCATAAAGAAAACAAAAAGTGACATGGCAGATATAAATTCAAATATATTAATAATACCATTAAGTATCAATGAATTATGCTGGGTGTGGTGGCTCATGCCTGTAATCCTAGCACTTAGGGAGGCTAAGGTGGGAGAACAGCTTGAGCCCAGGAATTTGAGGTTACAGTGAGCTATGATAGTGCACCGTACTCCACTCCAGCCTGGGCAACAGAGTGAGACTCTGGTTCTAGAAAAAAAAAATGAATTAAACAATCCAATCAAAAGGCAGATTGTCAGTCTGGGTTAAAAAACAGCAACAACATAATTCAACTATATGCAATCTACAGAAGAGACACTTTATTTTTTAATAGAGATGGGGTCTTGCTATGTTGACCAGACAGGTCTCAAACTCCTGGCCTCAAGTGATCCTCCCATCTTGGCCTCCCAAAGTGCTGGGATTACAGATGTAAGCCACCATGTCTGGCCCAGAAGAAACACTTTTTATTCAAAGATACAAATAGGTTAAAATTAAAATGATGGAAAAACTAATAACATGCAAACAGCAAGCACAAGAAAGCTGGAGTGGCTATACTGGTATCAGAAAAAATAAAATTTAAAATAAAAAGTTATTAAAAATAAAGAGGGACATTTTATTATGATAGAAGGATCAATACACCAGGACAATATAATGATTATAAACATACATACACCTAACAGCACAGTACTAAAATACATAAAGCAAAAACTGATAGAAAGGAAGATTTAAATAGACAAATCAGCAATAATAGTTGAGGGTTTCAATACTTTATTTCCAATAATAAATGGAACAATTAGGCAAAATATCAACAAGGAAATAGAACACTTGAACATACTATGAGACAACTGGACCTAATAGACATCAAGAGACACTCCACTCAATGAGAACGGAGTATACGTTCTTCTCAAGTACATATGGAACATTCTCCAGGATATACCATATGCGAGGCCATAAAACAAACCTTAATAATTTTAAAAAAACAAAAGTAATACAAAAAATTATTAAGCCAAGGAGGCTGAAGTGGGAGAAACACTTGAGCCCAGGAGTTCAAGACCAGCCTGGGCAACGTAGCAAGATTCCATCTCTAGAAAAACAAAACAGTTTAAAAAAAAAAAGAAATAATACAAGTTGTTTGTGGTGGTGCATGCCTGCAATTCTAGCTACTTGTGAGGCTGAAATGGGAGGACAGTTCAAGCTCAGGAGTTTGAGGCTACAGTGAGCTGTGATCATGCCACTGCACTTCAAGCTGGGCAGAGTGAGACCCTATCTCTATGTATAAAAGAAAAGAGGCTGGGTGCAGTGGCTCATGCCTGTAATCCTACCACTTTGGGAGGCCAAAGTGGGCGGATCATGAGGTCAAGAGCTCGAGATCATCCTGGCCAACATGGTGAAACCCTGTCTCTACTAAAAATACAAAAATTAGCTGGGCATGGTGGTGCATGCCTGTAGTCCCAGCATCCTGTACTCAGGAGGCTGAGGCAGGAGAATCACTTGAACCCAGGAGGCAGAGGTTGCAGTGAGCCGAGATCACGCCACTGCACTTTGGCCTGGAGAGGGAGTGAGACTCCGTCTCACAAAAAAAAAAAAAAAAAAAAAAAAAAGAAAAAGAAAAAAGAAATAATCCAAAATATGTTCTCTGTCTATAATGGAAAGAAATTAAACATCAATAACAGAAAGAAAATTGAAAAAACTCACAAATATATGAAAATTAAATAGCAGGCCAGGCGCGGGTGGCTCACGCCTGTAATCCCAGCACTTTGGGAGGCCAAGGCAGGTGGGTCGCAAGGTCAGGAGTTCAAGCCCAGCTTTACCAACATGGTGAAACCCCGTCTCTACTAAGAATACAAAAATTAGCCGGCATGGTGGCACGTACCTGTAATCCCAGCTACTCAGGAGGCTGAGGCCGGAGAATCACTTGAACCTGGGAGGCGGAGGTTGCAGTCAGCCAAGATCGCGCCACTGCACTCCAGCCTGGCTGACAGAGTGAGACTCCATCTCCAAAAAAAAAAAAAAAAAAAACAGAAGTCCGGGAACAGTGGCTCACGCCTGTAATCCCAACACTTTGGGAGGCCGAGGCAGGTGGATCAGGAGGTCAGGAGTTCAAGACCAGACTGGCCAAGATGGTGAAACCCTGTCGCTACTAAAAATACAACAATGAGCTTGGTGCAGTGGCAGGCGCCTGTAATCCCAGCTACTTGGAGGCTGAGGCAGGAGAATCACTTGCACCTAGGGGGCGGAGGTTGCAGTGAGCTGAGATCATGCCACTGCACTTCAGCCTGGGCAACAGTGAGACTCCGTCTCACAAAAAAAAAAAAAAAAAAAAGAAAAGAAAATTAAATAGCACATTCCTAAATAATCAGTCAAAGAGGAATCAAAAGAGAAATTAGAAAATTACTTTGAGATGAATACAATAAAGGCTGACCAAGGGGAAAAAAAAGAGAGAAGGCTCAAATTACTGAAATCAGGAATAAAAGAGATGTTACTGCCAAACTCACAGAAACGAGAGAGGGTTATAACATAATATTGAGAAGAATTGTATGCCAACCAATTAGATAACCTAAATGAAATGGACAAATTATTGGAAATACATAATCTATCAAAATGGACTCAAGGAAAAAATAGAAATTCTAAATATATTTATAATACAAATATTGAGCTAATAATTTTTAAAAAAAATAACCCTTTCAACACATAAAGCCTACACATATATGGCTTCACTGGTGAATTATAGCAAATATTTAAAGGAGAATTAATAGGCTGGGCATAGTGGCTCACGCCTGTAATCTCAGCACTTTGAGAGGCCAACATGGGTGTATTGCTTCATCCCAGGAGTTCGAGGCCAGCCTGGGCAACATGGTGAAACCTCATGTCCACAGACAAAATACAAAAATTAGCTAGGTGTGGTAGTACATGCCTGTAGTCCCAGCTACTAGGGAGGCTGAGGTGGAAGGAACGCTTGAGCCCAAGAGATCAAGGCTGCAGTGAGCCATGACCACACCACTGCACTCCAGCCTGGGTGACAAAGTGAGATTCTGTCTCTAAATAAATAAATAAATAAATAAATAAATAAATAGATAAATAAGAATTAATGGCAATTCTTTAAAATTCTTCAAAAACATGAAAGAGAAGTGAACATTTCCCAACTCATTCTATAAGGCCAATATTACCCTGATATCAAAAGCAAACAAAAATATCATAAGAAAAAAAAACCTGTAGGTCTTTTTTTTTTTTAGACGGAGTCTCACTCTGTCACCAGGCTGGAGTGCAGTGACACGATCTCGGCTCACTACAACCTCCGCCTCCCGGGTTCAAGCGATTCTCCTGCCTCAGCCTCCCAAGTAGCTGGGACTACAGGTGTGTGCCACCACGCCCGGCTAATTTTTGTATTTTTAGTAGAGACGGGGTTTCATCAGATTGGCCAGGATGGTCTTGAACTCTTGACCTCATGATCTGCCAGCCTCAGCCTGTGCTGTGATTACAAAGTGCTATGATTACAGGCGTGAGCCACCGCTCCCAGCCAAAAAAAAACCTGTAGATTTTTATCTCTTATGAATATAGATGCAGAAATCTGACAAAATACCAGTAATATAAATTCAAACATATAAAAAAGATTATAAACTATTATCAAATGGGATTTATCTAAGGAATGCAAGGTAAGTAAAATGTGTGAAAAACAATTAATGTAATATACAATATTTATAGAATACAAGACAAAACCCACATGACCATCTTTTTTTTCTTTTTAATTTTGCTTTAAGTTCTGGAATACATGGGCAGAACATGCAAGTTTGTTACATAGGTATACAGGTGCCATGGTGGTTTCTGCAACTGTCAACCCATCATCTAGGTTTAAAGACCTGCATGCATTAAGTATTTGTCCTAATGCTTTTCCTCCCCTTGCACCCCACCCCCTGACAGGCCCCAATGTGTGATGTTCCACTCCTGTGTCCATGTGTTCTCATTGTTTAACTCCCACTTATGAATGAGAACATGCAGTGTTTGATTTTCTGTTCCTGTTTTAGTTTGCTAAGAATGATGGCTTTTAGCATCATCCTTGTCCCTGAAAAGGACATACACTCATTCTTTTTCATGGCTGCATAGTATTCCATAGTGAATATGTGGAACATTTTCTTTATCCAGTCTATCATTGATGGACATTTGGGTTGATTCCAAGTCTTTGCTATTGTAAATAGTGGTGGAATAAACATACTTGTGCATGTGTCTTTATGGTAGAATGATTTATAATCCTTTGGGTATATACTCAGTAATGGGATTGCTGGGTCAAATGGTATTTCTGGTTCTAGATCCTTGAAGAATAGCCACACTGTCTTCCACAATGGTTGAACTAATTAGCACTCCCACCAACAGTGTAAAAGCATTCCTATTTCTCCACAGCCTCACCAGCATCTGTTCTTTCCTGACTTTTTAATAATCACCATTGTAACTGGTGTAAGATGGTATCTCATTGTGGTTTTGATTTGCATTTCTCTAATGATCAGTGATGATGAGCCTTTTTTCATATGTTTCTTGGCTGCCTAAATGTCTTCTTTTGAGAAGTGTCTGTTCATATCCTTCACCCACTTTTTGATGGGTTTTTTTTTTCTTGTAAATTTGTTTAAGTTCCTTGAAGATTCTGGATATTAGACCATTGTCAGATGGGTAGCTTGCAAAAATTTTCTCCCATTCTATAGGTTGTCTGTTCACTCTGATGATAGTTTCTTTTGCTGTGCAGAAGCTCTTTGGTTTAATTAGATCCCATTTGTCAATTTTGGCTTTTGTTGCCATTGCTTTTGTTGTTTCAGTAATGAAGTCTTTGCCCATGCCTATGTCCTGAAGGGTATTGCCTAGGTTTTCTTCTAGGGTTTTTATGGTTTGGGGTTTTACATTTAAGTCTTTAACCCATCTTGAGTTAATTTTTGTATAAGGTGTAAGGAAGGGGTCTGGATTCTGTTTTCTGCATATGGCTAGCCAATTTTCCCAGCACAATTTACTGAATAGGGAATCCTTTCCCCATTGCTTGTTTTTGTCAGGTTTGTGGAAGATCAGATGGTTGTAGATGTGTGGTGTTATTTCTGAGGTCTCTGTTCTGTTCCATTGGTCTGTATATCTGTTTTGGTACCAGTACCATGCTGTTTTGGTTACTGTAGACTTGTAGTATAGTTTGAAGTCACGTAGCAGGATGCCTCCAGCTTTGTTGTTTTTCCTTAGGATTGCCTTGGCTTTACAGGCTCTTTTTTGGTTCCATATGAAATTTAAAGTAGTTGTTTTTAATTCTGTGAAGAAAGTCAATGGTAGGTTGATGGGAATAGCATTGAATCTATAAATTACATTGCGCACTATGGCTATTTTCATTATATTGATTCTTCTTATCCATGAGCATGGAATGCTTTTCCATTTGTTTGTGTCCTACTTTATCTCATTGAGCAGTGGTTTGTAGTTCTTGAAGTGTTCCTTCACATCCCTTGTAAGTTGTATTCCTAGTTATTTTATTCTCTTTGTAGCAGTTGTGAATGGGGGTTTGCTCATGATTTGGCTCTCTGCTTGTCTATTGTTGGTGTATAGAAGTGCTTGTGATTGTTACACATTGATTTTATATCCTGAGACTGTGCTGAAGTCGATTATAAGCTTAAGGAGTTTGTGGATTGAGATGATGGGGTTTTCTAAGTACACAATCATGTCATCTGCAAACAGAGAAAATTTGAATTCCTCTCTTCTTATTTGAATACTCTTTGTTTCTTTCTCTTGCCTTATTGCCCTGGCCAGAACTATGTTGAATAGGAGTGGTGAGAGAGGGCATCCTTGTCTTGTGCCAGTTTTCAAAGGGAATGTTTCCAGCTTTTGCCCATTTGGTATGATAGTGGCTTTGGATTTGTCATAAATAGCTCTTATTATTTTTAGATACATTCCGTCAATACCTAGTTTATTGAGAGTTTTTAGCATGAAGGGATGTTGAATTTCATCAAAGGCCTTTTCTGCATCTATTGAGATGATCCTGGTTTTTGTCATTGGTTCTCTTTATGTGATGGGTTATGTTTATTGATTTGTATATGTTGAACCAGCCTTGCATCCCAGAGATGAAGCCAACTTGATTGTAGTGAATAAACTTTTTGATGTGCTGCTGGATTCGGTTTGCCAGTATTTTATTGAGGATTTTTGCATCAATCATCAGGGATATTGGCCTGAGATGTTCTCTTATTGTTGTGTCTCTGCCAGGTTTTGGTATCAGCTGGCCTCATAAAATGAGTTAGGGAGGAGACCCTCTTTTTCTATTGTTTGGAATAGTTTCAGAAGGAATGGTACCAGCTCCTCTTTGTACCTCTGGTAGAATTCAGCTGTGAATCTGTCTTGTCCTGGGTTTTCTTGGTTGGTAGACTATTAATTACTGCCCCAATTTCAGAACTTGTTATCGGTCTATTCAGGGATTCAACTTATTTCTGGTTTAGTCTTGGGAGGGTGTATGTATCCAGGAATTTGCCCATTTCTTCTAGATTTTCTAGTTTATTTGTGTAGAGGTTTTGTAGTATTCTCTGATGGTAGTTTGTATTTCTGTGATATCCCCTTTTTCATTTTTTATTATATCTATTTGATTCTTCTCTTTTTTCTTCCTTATTTGTCTAGCTAGTAGTCCATCTATTTTGTTAATCTTTTCAAAAAACCAGCCCCTGGATTCATTGATTTTTTGAAGGGTTTTTTGTGTCTCTATCTCCTTCAGTTCTGCTCTCATCTTAGTTATTTCTTGTCTCTTGCTAGCTTTTGAATTTGTTTGCTTTTGCTTCTCTAGTTCTTTTAATTGTGCTGTTAGGGTGTCAATTTTAGATCTTTCCTACTTTCTGTTGTGGACGTTTAGTGCTATAAATTTCCCTCTTAACACTGCTTTAGCTTTATCCCAGAGATTCTGGTACGTTGTCTCTTTGTACTTGTTGGTTTCAAAGAACTTACTTATTTCTGTGTTAATTTTGTTATTTACCTAGTAATCATTCAGAAGCAAATTGTTCAATTTCCATGTAGTTGTGTGGTTTTGAGTGAGTTTCTTAATCCCGAGTTCTAATTTGCTTGCACTGTAGTCTGAGAGACTGTTTGTTATGATTTCAGTTCTTTTCTGTTTGCTGAGGAGTGTTTTTCTTCCAATTATGTGGCCAATTTTAGAATACGTGCTATGTGGCACTGAGAAGAATGTATATTCTGTTGATTTGGGGTGGAGAGTTCTGTAGATGTCTATTATGTCTGCTTTGTCCAGAGCTGAGTTCAAGTCCTGAATATCCTTGTTAATTTTCTGTCTTGTTGATCTGTCTAATAATGACAGTGTGGTGTTAAAGCCTCCCACTATTATTGTGTGGGAGTCTCAGTCTCTGTAGGTCTCTAATAACTTGCTTTATGAATTTGGGTGCTCCTGTATTGGGTGCATATTTATTTAGGATAGTTAGCTTTTCTCTTTGCATTGATCCCTTTACCATTATGTAATGCCCTTCGTCTTTTTTGATCTTTGTTGGTTTAAAGTCTGTTTTATCCGAGACTAGGATTGCAACCCCTGCTTTTTTTGTTTTCCATTTGCTTGGTAAATATTCCTTCATCCTTTTATTTTGATCCTATGTGTGTCTTTTCACGTAAGATGCGTCTACTGAATACAGCACACTGATGGATCTTGACTCTTTATCCAATTTGCCAGTCTGTGTCTTTTAATTAGGGCATTTAGCCATTTACATTTAAGGTTAATATTGTTATGTGTGAATTTGATGCTGTCATCATGATGTTAGCTGGTTATTTTGCACATTAGTTGATGCAGTTTCTTCATAGTGTCATTGGTCATTATAATTTGCCCTGTTTTTGCAGTGGCTGTTACTGGTTTTTCCTTTCCATGTTTAGTGCTTCCTTCAGGAGTTCTTGTAAGGCCGGCCTGGAGGTGATAAAATCCCTCAGCATTTGCTTGCCTGGGAAGGATTTTATTTCCCCTTCGCCTATGAAGCTTAATTTTGCTGGATATGAAATTCTGGGTTGAAAATTCTTTTCTTTAAGGATGTTGAATATTGCACCCCCCCCTTCTGGATGTAGGGTTTCTGCAGAGAGATCTGCTTTTAGTCTGATGGGCTTCCCTTTGTAGGTAACCTGACCTTTCTTTCTGGCTGCCCTTAACATTTTCTCCTTTGTTTCAATCTTGGAGAATCTGATGATTATGTGTCTTGGGGTTGTTCTTCTCGAGGAGTATCTTATTGGTGTTCTCTGTATTTCCTGAATTTGAATGTTGGCCTGTCTTGCTAGGGTGGGGAAGTTCTCTGGGATAATATCCTGAAGTGTGTTTCCCAACTTGGTTCCATTCTCCCCGTCACTTTCTGGGACCCCAATCAATCGTAGGTTTGGTCTTTTCACATAGTTCCGTATTTCTTGGAGGCTTTGTTTGCACTTTTCATTCCTTTTTCTCTAATCTTATCTTCATGCCTTATTTCAGTAAGTTGATCTTCAGTCTCTGATAGCCTTTCTTCCACTTGATCGATTCAACTATTGATACTTGTGTATGCTTCATGAAGTTCTCGTGCTGTGTTTTTCAGCTCCATCAGGTTTATGTTCCTCTCTAAAGTAGTTATAGTAGTTAGTAGTTCCCATATCCTTTTATCAATGTTCTTAACTTCCTTGTATTGGGTTAGAACATGCTCCTGTAGCTCAGAGGAGTTTGTTATTATCCACCTTCTGAAGCTTACTCTGTCAATTCACCAGTCTCATTCTTCATCCAGTTTGTGCCCTTGCTGGAGAGGAGTATGATAATTTGGAGGAGAAGAGCCATTCTGGTTTTCGGAATTTTCAGTATTTTTGTGCTGGTTTTTCCTCATCTTTGTGGATTTATCTACTTTTGATCTTTAAGGCTGATGACCTTTGGATGGGGTTTTGGTGGGGGGTCCTTGATGTTGATATTGATGTTGTTGCTTTCTGTTTGTTAGTTTGTCTTCTAACAGTCAGGCCCCTCTTCTGCAGGTCTGCTGGAGTTTGCTGGAGGTCCACTCCAGACCCTGTTTGCCTGGGTATCACCAGCAGAGGCTGCAGAACAGCAAAGATCGCTGCCTGTTTCTTCCTCTGGAAGATTCCTCCCAGAGGGGCACCCACCGGATGCCAGCTGGAGCTCTCCTGTATGAGGTGTCTGTTGGCTCTTGCTGGGAGGTGTCTCCCACTTAGGAGGCATGGGGGTCAGGGAACCACTTGAGGAGGCAATCTGTCCCTTATCAGAGCTGGTGCGCTGTGCTGGGAGAATCCTCTTGTCAGGATCAGCTGCTCTCTTAAGAGCCAGCTGGCGGGCATGATAAAATCCACTGAAGCTGCGCCCACGGCCACCCCTTCCCACAGGTGCTCTGTCCCAGGGAGATGGGGGTTTTGTTTGTAAGCCTCTGACTGGGGGTGTTACCTTTTCTTCAGAGATGACCTGTCCAGTGAGGAGGAATCTAGAGAAGCAGTCTGGCCACAGCCGCTTTGCTGCACCCAGCCCAGACCTCCCAGCCTCCTTAGCACTGTCAGGGAAAAACTGCCTACTAAAGCCTAAGTAATGGCTGACACAGACCCTACCACCCCCCCCTCCGACCCCACCACCAACCTTGATCATCTCAGACTTCAGACTGCTGTGCTGGGAGTGAGAATTTCAAGCCAGTGGTTCTTAGCTTGCTGGGTTCTGGGAAAGTAGGACCCACTGAGCGAGACCACTTGGCTCCCTGGCTTCAGCCCCATTTCCAGGGGAGTAAGTGTTTCTGTGTCACTGGGGTTCCAGGCGCCACTAGCGTACAAAAAACAAAAAAACTCCTGCAGCTAGCTTGGTGTCTGCCCAAACAGCCGCCCAGTTTTTTGCTTGAAACCTAGGGCCCTGGTGGTTAGGCCCACAGGGGAATCTCCTGATCTGCAGATTGCAAAAACTGTGAAAAAAGCATAGTATCTGGGCTGGGTAGCACAGTTCCTCGTGGCTTCCCTCGGGTGGGGAGAGGGAGGTCCCTGGCTCGTTGCACTTCCTGGGTGAAGCGATGCCCCACCCTGTTTCTGCTTGCCCTCCATGAGTTGGACCCACTACCTAACCAGTCCCAATGAGATGAAATGGGTACCTCAGTTGGAAATGCAGAAACACTCGCCTTCTGTGTTGGTCTTGCTGGGAGCTGCAGACCGAAGCTGTTCCTATTTGGCCATCTTGACCCCTTGACCATCTTAAAGTTGCAGAAAAAGCATCTGACAAAACCCAACACTCCTTCATGATAAACACACACACACATACACACACACACACACACACACACTGAATAAACTAGGAATAAAAGGGAACTACTTCAACTTGACAAAAGGCATCTATAAAATACCCCACAGCTAACATAATACTTCATGGGGTAAAGACTGAGCTTATTCTTAACTGATCTTAGGGATTAAGCTCAAAAAGGATGTCTCTTTTCATCACTTCTGTTCAACATTTTATGGCAGGTTCCAGCAAGGGCAATTAGGCAAGAAAAATGAAATGAAAGACATCCTGTTTAGAAAGGGAAGATAAAAACTCTATTTATAGATGCCATGATTTTTTATGTAGAACATCCTAAATGATCCATTAAAATCTATTATAACGAATAAATGAGTTATGTAAATCTTCAGGATAAAAAAAATCAATGTACAAAATCAGTTGTATTTTTATATACTTTCAGTGAACACTCTGAAACTAAAATTAAGAAAGCAATTCCATTCACAGTAGCACCAAACAGAATCAAATAGTTGAGAATAAATTTAACCAAGGCCATTCAAGGCGTCTACACTAAAAACCACAAAAACCTGTTAAAAGCAGTTAAAGAAGACCTAAACAAATGGAAAGGGAGCCTATGTTTATGTATCAGAAGACTCACTATTGTTAATACTGCAATACTTTCACAGGCATTGCATTAATTTACAGACGTATTAATGATACAATGTGTGTAAAAATTCCAGGTGGTTTTTCCCCCCCCAGAAACTGGCAAACTGATCCTAAAACTATTTTGGAAATGAAAAGTACCAGAATAGTCAAAAGAGACTTGAAAAAGAACAAAGTTGGAGGACTCACTTCTTGATATCAAAACTTACTACAATGTTTTAGTATTTAAGACAGTGAAGTATTGGCATAAGGATAGACATAGATCAATAGAAAATAATTGGGGGTATAGAAGTACACCTTCGCATTTCTAGTAAATTGACTTTTGACAAGAATGTCAAAAGAATTTAATGGGGGAAGGAATAAGGAATAGTCTCTTCAACAAATGGTGCTAAAACAACTGGATATCCACATGAAAAAGTATGAATTTGGAGCTCTACTTCACACCATATACAAAATGAACTCAAACTGGATCAAAGACATAAACGTAAGAGCTAAAACTATGAAACCATTAGAAGAAAGCATAGACATACATCTTCATAATCTCGGAATTGAAAATGGTTTCTTAAGTATGATGCCAAAAGCTCAAGTTAAAAAAATGTGTATATATATATATATATATATATATGTATATAAATTGGACTTCATCAAAATAAAATACTTTTGTGCCTCAAAAGGCACTATCAAGAAAACAGAAAGAAAATCTACATAATGGGAAAATTATTTGCTAATTATGTATCTGACATAAGGAGCTTCAATATGTAAAAATCTCTTAGAAATTAAAAATAAAAAGGTAAATAACCCAACTAGAAAATAGACAAAAAAAATTGAATAATTACATGAAAAGATCCTCAGCCTCTTTAGCCAAAAGAGAAATACACATCAAAATTACTTCATACACAGTATAATGACTGTTATCAAATAGATAACGAATGTTGACACAGATGTGGCAAAATTGGAACCTTCATATGCTACCGATAGGAATGTAATTTGGAACCTTCATATACTGCTTTGGAACATTATTTGGCAGTTCCTCAATTATCTAAACAGAGTTACCCAACAATTCCACTTCTGGATATATACTGAGGAGAATTAAAAACACATATCCATCTCAAAAATTGTACATGAATTTTCATAATAGCAAGAAAGTGGAGACAACTTAAATGTCCATCGACTGATGAATAGGTAAACAAAATATAGCATATCCACACAATAAAATATTATTCCAGAATTTAAAGAGAAGAAGTACTGATACATAGTATAAACATGAATGAACTTTGAAAATACTATACTAAAAGAATTCATTCACAAAACACCACATATGACATGTCCAGATTAGAATAATTATTAAGATAGAAAGTAGATTATTGGTTGCCTAGGACTGAAAGGCTTGGGATAAAATGGGGGTGATTGCCAATTGATGTGGGTTTTGGGGGGGATGTGATGAAATGTTCTAAAATTGACTGTGGTAAGACATAGAGAAACTGGAGCAAGATGGTGGGATAGGACTCTTCAGCAGTCATCTCCCTGCAGAAACAATAATTTGAACAATTCTCCATACATGAAAATACCTTCACAAAATCTAAGAGAACCAGATGAGAGATCACAGTAGTTGGTTATAGCATAATAAAAAAAAGACGCATTGGAGAGGGTAGAAAGAACAGTGTGACATTACCTGCATTACCTCTCCCACAACTTCATGCAACACAGAGTGGGGACACATACCATCCTTTTTGGGAAAAGAGAGAAACTTTGCCTTAGATCCCAATACCGGGCCTGCCACAGTAGAACCCAGCACTGGGCACACCCCATGGTACCTGACTCCAGACTGGTGCCTTAGACTGAGGCTACAAACCTGCCTTGTTGCCAGAGGAAAACACTTAGCCCCTGCAAAATGAACTCAACTTTTAGCCTGCATCACTGATGGCCAACTACAACTGTAAAAAGAGACAAAAAATATTATATAATGATAAAATGGTTGATTTAGCAAGAGGATATAACTACTGTAAATATATATGCACTCAGCATTGAAGCATCTGCACACATGTGCAAATATTAATCAATCTGAAGGGAGAGATAGACTGCAATATAATAATATTATGGGACTGCAACTCATCACTTTCAACAGTGGAAAGATCATCCAGACAGAAAGTCAACAAAGAAACATCAGATTTAAACTGTACTCTAGAACAAATGTACCTAACAGACATTCATAGAATATTCCATGCAACAGCTGTAGAATACACATTCTTCTCAACTGCACATGGAACACTCTGGGAAAAAATATATATTTTAGTCCACAAAACAAGTCTTAACAAATTTAAGAAAATTGAAATCATATCATGTATTTGTTTTATTTTTTTGAGACAGGATCTCACTCTGTTGCCAAGGTTGGAGTGCAGTATTGTGATTATGTCTTACTGCACACTCCACCTCCTAGGCTTAAGTGATCCTCCCACCTCTGCTGGGACTACAGGTATATACCACCATGCCTGCCTAACTTTTTAATTTTTTTTTTTTTTTTTTGTGGAGACAAGATCTCACTATGTTGTCCTGGCTGATCTTGACCTCCTAAGCTCAATCAGCCCTCCCACCTCAGCCTCCCAAAGTGCTGGCATTACGGGCATGAGCTACACTCCCTGGCCTCAAATATCTTTTTGACAAAAATAGTATAAAACTAGATTCAATAACAGAAGGAACTGCAGAAAATACATAAATACATGTATATTAAAAAACATGCTCCTGAATAACCAATGGATCAATAAAGAAGTTTAAAGGGAAATTAAAATTATTTTTCAGATATTACCTGCATTACCCCTTAAGGTCATTATTCCATGAAAATGGAAACACAATGTACTAAAACCTATGAGATACAGCAAAAGCAATTCTAAGAAGGAAGTTAATAGCAATACACACCTATATCAAAAAAGAAGAAGAAGAAGAATCTCAAATAAACAACCTAATGTTGCATCACAGGGAATAAGAAAAACAAGAACAAACTAAACCTAAAATTAGTAGGAAAAAAGAAATAATAAAGATTGAAGCAGAGATAAATAAAACAGAATCTGTAAAAACAATATGAAAGATCAATAAAATGAAGAGTTGGTTTTTTTGAAAAGATAGACAAAATCAACAAACCTTTAACCATACTAAGAAAAAAAGAGAGGAGGCTCAAATAAATAAAATAAGAGATGAACAAAGAGATATTAAAGCTGATATCACAGAAATGCAAAGGGTTGTAAGAGACTAGTATGAACAATAACATGCCAACATTTGATAACTTAGAATAAATGAATAATTTATTTGACACATATCCTACCAAGACTGAATTATGAAAAATAGAAAACCTAAACAGAGCAATAATAAGTAAGAAGATTGAATCAGTAATGAAAAATCTCTCATTAAAGGAAAGCACAGGGCTGATGGCTTCACTGTTGAATTCTACCAAAGATTTAAAGAACTAGTACCAATACTTTTCAAACTCTTCCAAAAAATTGAAGAGGAGGAAATACTTCCAAACTCATTCTATGAAGCCAGCCTTACCATAATATCAAAACCAGACAAAAAAGGAAAACTGTAGGTCAGTATCATTCATGAACATAGATGTAGAAATTTTCAAAAAATTATGAGCAAACTGAATTCAGTAACATATTACAAAAATCATTCATCATGATCAAATGAGATTTCATCCCAGGGATGCAGGGTGGGGTCAACATATGCAAATCAATATACATAATATATCATAGTAACAGAATAAAGTGTAAAAATGTTATGATCATTTCAATACATGCAAAAAAAATTTGAAAAAAATCCAACATCTTTTCATGATAAAAACTCTCAACAAATTAGGCATAGAAAATATGTATCTTAGCCAGGCATGGTGGCTCACACCTGTAATTCCAGCACTTTGGGTGGCTGAGGCAGGCAGATCACTTGAGGTCAGGAGTTCTAGACCAACCTGGCCAACATGGTGAAACCCCGTCTGTACTAAAAATACAAAAAATAGCCGGGTGTGATGGTGCACACCTGTAATCCCAACTACTTGGGAGTCTGAGACAGGAGAATTGCTTGCACCCAGGAGGTGGAGTTTGTAGTGAGCCAAGATCGTGCCACTGCACTCCAGCCTGGATGACAGAGTGAGACCCTGTCTCAATGAAAAAAATAAAATAAAAAAGAAAATATGTATCTTAACAAAATAGATGCCACCTATGACAAATCTACTGCTAACCTCATATTCCACAGGGAAAAACTGAAAGCTTTTTTCTCTGATATCTGGAACAAGACAAGAATACCTACCTTTGCCACTTCAATTTAACATAGTCCTAAGTCCTATCCAGGTCAATTATGAAAGAGAAAGAAATAAGACAGTGAACTATCTGAAAAAGAAATAAAACAATCTCATTTATAATAGCCACAAATAAAAATCCGTAGGAATAAAGTTAACCGAGGAGGTAAAAGATCTCTATGCTGAAAACTATAACACACTGATAAAAGTAATTGAGGAGAGGAGAAAAAAATGGCAGATGGGAGACAGGGCTAACATGCAGCTCCTGCTTAGATGGACAGAACAGCATCTGGACACTCACACTGTGAACTTTTGCTCTAAGAACCACTGCAGAAGCATAACAAAAAAAAAAAAAAATTCACAGACCCTTTGAAAGAAGAGGCTTTCCGCTGTGAATGTTGCAAGACAGACAAAACCCCTGAAGACAAAAACATACTCTCTTGGGAGTGCTATGGCCCTGCCCATCACCTGAGAAACCCAAGTATTCATTCAGGCCAGTGTAGGACAAGATTATATTCCTCTTCTACTCCTGCAGCTAATACTCCCTTGAAAGCACCACCTCCTGGCTAAAAGCCAAACAACTCAAGCCATTACAACAACTCATAACAGAAGAAACCTGCTCCAAAGAAGGATAAAACAACTAATTCCACCACCTGCAACACCCTGGGTAGACAGAGTGTTGCACATGACAACTTCACTGCTAACATAACCAGCATTTGAGAAAACCAGACACTAAACAAAACTACAACCAAGGACTCCCACAGAATTGACTTAACTCCACTGCCACGTTCACTGGAACAAGTGCTGGTATCCATGGCTAGGAGACCTAAAGATGGATCACATCACAGGTCTCTTTGCAAACATTCCCCAGCAACAGTCTGGAGACTGGTAGCCCCACTAGGTGGCTAGATCCAGAAGAGCAATAACACTCATGGCAGTCTGGCTCTCAGGAAGTTCTATCCATAAAGGAATGGGGAGAGTACCACATAGAGGGATCACCTCATGGGACAAAAGAATCTGAACAGCAGCCCTTGAGTTCCAGATATTTCCACTGAAACAGTCTGCCCAAATGAGAAGGAACCAGAAAAGTAATGACCAAACAAGGTTCTATAACACCCCCAAAAGATCACATTAGCTCTCCTGCAGTGGATTCAAACCAAGAAGAAATCTCTGAATTGCCAGATAAAGAATTCAAAAGATGGATTATCAGGATACTCAAGGAGGCACCAGAGAAGGATGAAAACCAATTTAATGAAATTTTAAAAATAACAAAGAATATGGATGAAAAAGTCTCCAGAGAAATAGATCTCATAAAGAAAAGACAATCACAACTTCTGGAAATAAAAGACACACTGAGAAAAATGTGAAATACACTGAAAAATTTCAACAATAGAATCAAACAAGTAGAAAAAAAGAACTTCAGAGCTCAAAGACAAGGTTTTTAAATTAACCAAATCCAACAAAACAGAACAAAAAAAGAAGACTAAAAAAATAAGCAAAGCCTCCAAGACATTTGGTATTATGTTAAATGACCAAACATAAGAATAACTGGTGTTCTTGAAGAAGAGAATAAATCTAAAAGTTAGGAAAACATATTTGAGGGAATAATTGAGGAAAACTTCCCTAGTGTTGCTAGAAATCTAGACATCCAAATACAAGAAGCTCAAAGAACACCCAGGAAACTCATTGCAAAAAGATCATCACCTATGCACATAGTCATCATATTATCTAAAGTCAAGGTGAAGGAAAGAATCTTAAGAGCTGTGATGCAATAGCATCAGGTAACTTATGAAGGAAAACTTCTCAGATTAAGAGCAGATTTCTCAGCAGAAACTCTTTAAGCCAGAAAAGTTTGGGGTCCTATCTTTAGCCTCCTTAAAATAATGATCAGCCTCAAGTTTTGTATCCATCAAAACTAAGCTTCATAAATGAAGGAGAGATGAAGTCTTTTTCAGACAAACAAATGCTGAGAGAACTGGCCATTACCAAGCCAGTACTAAAAGAAATGCTAAAAGGAATCCTAAATCTTGAAAAAAACCTCAAAATCCATCAAAATAGAACCCCCTTAAAGCATAAATCTCACAGAACATATAAAACAATAACACAGTGGAAAAAAAAACAAGATATTCAGGCAACAACTAGCATGATGAATAAAACAGTATCTTATATCTGAATACTAACATTGAATGTAAATTATCTAAATGCTTCACTTAAAAGATACAGAATGGCAGAATGAATAAAAATTCACCAATCAAGTGTCTGCTATCTTTAAGAGACTCGCCTGACACATAAGGACTCACATAAACCTAAGGTAAAGGAGTGGAAAAAGATATTCCATGCAAATGAAGAAAATTGAGAAGGAATAGCTGTTCTTATATTAGAAAAAACAGAGTTTAAAGCAACAACAGTTAAAAAAGACAATGAGGGACACTATATCATGATAAAAGGATCAGTACAACAGGAAAATATCACAATCCTGAATATATATGCACCTAACGTGGGAGCTCCCAAATTTATATAACAATTACTAGTAGACAAATTAATGAGATATACAGCAACACAAAAATAGTGGAGGACTTTAATATTCCACTGAAAGCACTAGACAGGTCATCAAGACAGAAAGTGAACAAAGAAACAATGGACTTAAACTATACCCTAGAACAAATGAACTTAACAGATATTTACAAAACATTCTACCAAAGAACTGAAAAGTATACACTCTTTACAACAGCACATGAAACTTTCTCCAAGATAGACCATATGATAGGCCACTAAGACTCAGTACATTGTTAAAAATCTAAATTATTTGTTTTATTTTATTTTATTTTATTTTATTTTATTTTATTTCTTTTTATTGAGACAAAATCTCCCTCTGTTGCCCAGGCTGAAGTGCAGTGGCACAATCTCGGCTCACCACAACCTCCACTTCCTGAGTTCAAGCAATTCTCCTGGCTTAACCTCCTGAGTAGCTGGGATTACAGGTGTGTGCCACCACACCCAGCTAATTTTTGTATTTTTAGTAGAGATGGGGTTTCACCATGTTGGCCAGGCTGGTCTCAAATTCGTGACCTCAGGTGATCCACCTGCTTCAACCTCCCAAAATGCTGGGATTACAGGTGTGAGCCACCACGCCCAGCCAGAAAATTGAAATTATATTAAGTATCTTCTTAGACCATGGTGGAATAAAATTGAAAATAAACTCCAAAAGGAACCCTCAGAACTATACAAATACGTGGAAATTAAATAATCTGCTCCTAAATAATTCTTGGGTCAACTATGTTATCAAAATGGGAATTAAAAAATTATTTGAACTGAATGATAATAGTGACAAAACCTGTTAAAACCTCTGGGATACAGCAAAAGTGATGATAAGAGAAATGCTCATAGCATTAAGTGCCTACATCAAAAAGTCTGAAAGGGTACAAACAGACAGTCTAAGCTAACACCTCAAAGAACTAGAGGAACAAGAACAAACCAAAGCCAAACCTAGCAGAAGAAAAAAAAATAATAAAGATAAGAACAGAACTAAATTAAATTGAAATATAATTATACAAAAGATAAAAAAGCTGGTTTTTTGAAATGATAAGCAAAATTGATAGACAATTAGTGAGATTAACCAAGAAAAGAAGCGAGAAGGTCTAAATAACCTTAATTAGGAACGAATGGGAGATATTACAACTGATACCACAGAAATATGAAATATTATTCAAGACTACTATGAACACCTTTATATGCACAAACTTGAAAACCTAGAGGAGATGGATACATTCTTGAAAATATACAACCCTCCTAAATAAAGCCAGGAAGAAATAGAAACTCTGAACAGACCAATAACAATTCACGACATTGAAACAGTAATAAAAATTGCCAACAAAAAAAGTCCAGGACCAGATGGATTCACAGCTGAATTCTATCAGATATTCAAATAAGAATTACTACCAATCCTACAGAAACTATTTCAAAAGATAGAGGAAATCCTACTTAAAACATTCTATGAAGCCAGTCATTACCCTAATACAAAAACCAGGAAAGGACATAACAAAAAGGAAAACTACAGAACAAATGTCCCTGATGAACAGAGATGCAAAAATTCTCAACAAAATATTAGCTAACCGAATTCAATGCATATCAAAGAGATAATACACCATGATCAAGTGGGTTTTATGCCAGGGATGCAGAGTGAGTGTAACATATGCAAGTCAATACATGTGATACACCACATAAATAGAAGTAAAAACAAAAATCATGATCATCTCAATAGATGCAGAAAAAAGCATTTAACAAAATCCAGCATTCGTTTATGATTAAAACTCTCAGCAAAAATGGTATAGAGGGGACATACCTTAAGGTAATAAAAGTGATCTACGGAAAACACACAGCCAATATTATACTGAAGAGATAAAAGTTGAAAACATTCCCCTGAGACCTGGAATAAGACAAGGATGCCCACTTACATCACTTCTATTCAACATAGTACTAGAATTCCTAGCCAGAGCAATCTGAAAAGAGAAAGAAATAAAAGGCATCCAAATTGGTAATGAGGACATCAAGCTGTCACTGTTTGCCAATGATATGATCATATAAATAGAAAACCCTAAAGACTCATCCAAAAAGTTCTTAGATCTGATAAATGAATTCAGCAAAGTTTCAGGATACAAAATCAATGTACACAAATCAGTAGCATTGCTATATACTAATAGTGACCAAGCTGAGTGTCAAATCGAGAACTCAAACCCTTTTATAACAGCTGTTAGAAAAATTAAAACTTAGGAACATACCTACCAAAGAGGTGAAAGGTCTCTATAAGGAAAACTACAAAAGAATGCTGAAAGAAATCATAGATGACAGAAACAAATGGAAACACATCCCATGCTCATGGATGGGTAGAATCGATATTGTTAAAACGACCATACTGCCAAAAGAAATCTATAAATTCAATGCAATCCCCATCAAAATACCATCATAATTCTTCATAGTACTAGAAAAAAAATCCTAAAATGTATATGGAACCAGAAAAGAGCCCACATAGCCAAAGCAAGACTAAGCAAAAAGAACAAATCTGAAGACATCACATTAACCAAGTTCAAACTACGTTATGAGGCTATAGTTACCTTGTAATGTAGTATGATAGTGGTATAAAAACCGGCATGCAGACCAATAGAACAGTGAATCCGAAAATAAAGCCAAATATTTACAGCCAACTGATCTTTGACAAAGCAAACAAAACGTAAAGTGGGGAAAAGATATCCTATTCAACAAATGGTGCTGGGATAACTGGCAAGCCACATGGAGAAGAATGAAACTGTAGGCTCATCTCTCACCTTATACAAAAAACAAATCAAGATGGATCAAAGACTTAAATCTAAGACCTCAAACCATAAAAATTCTAGAAGATAACATTGTAAAAATAATGCTAGTCATTGGCCTAGGCAAAGAGTTCATGACCAAAAACCCAAAAGCAAATGCAACAAAAACAAAAATAAATAGATAGGACCTAATTAAACTAAAGAGCTTCTGCACAGCAAAAGAAATAATTAGCAGAATAAACAGACAACCCACAGAGTGGGAGAAAATATTTGCAAACTATGCATCTGACAAAGGACTAATACCCAGAATCTACAAGGAACTCAAACAAGTCAGTAAAGAAAAAAAAAAAAAACCCTAATTAATTCCATAAAAAAGTTGGCTAAGGACATGAATAGACAATTATCAAAAGAAGATATACAAGTGGCCAAAAAACATATAAAAAATGCTCAACATTACTAATTATCTGGGAAATGCAAATCCAAACCACAATGCAATACCACTGTACTTGTGCAAGAATGACTGTAAGTAAAAAATAAAAAAAAAATTTAGATATTGGTGTGGATATGGTGGAAAGGGAACTGCTTGTGAGAATGTAAACTAGTACAACCACTATGGAAAACAGTATGGAAATTCCTTAAAGAACTAAAAGTAGAACTACCATTTGATCCAGCAATCTCACTACTGGGTATCTACCCAGAGAAAAATAAGTCATTATATGAAAAAGACACTTGCACACAAATGTTTAAAGCAGTACAATTTGCAATTGCAAAAATATAAAACCAGCCTAAATGCCCATCAACCAATGAGTGGATAAAGTAATGTGATATGCAAGATTTTATATATATATATATGTGTGTGTGTGTGTGTGTGTGTGTGTGTGTGTGTATCTATATCTATATAGATATATAGAGTCTCATTCTGTCATATATATCTATATAGATATAGATATATAAAGATATAGATATATAGATAGAGAGAGTCTCACTCTGTCACCCAGGCTGGAGTGCAGTTGTGTGATCTTGACTCCCTGAAACCTCCACTTCCTTATTTCAAGTGATTCTTGTGCCTCAGCCACTCAAGTTGCTAGGATTACAGGTGCATGCCACCATGCCCAGCTAATGTTTGTATTTTTTAGTAGAGACAGGGTTTCTCCATGTTGCCCAGGGTGGTCTCTAACTCCTGACTTCAAGCAATCCACCTGCCTTGGCCTCCCAAAGTGCTGGGATTGCAAGCATGAGCTACTGTGCTTGGCCTAAATGTGTTATACTATGGAATACTACTCAGCCATACAAAGGAATAAAATGATGGCATTCACAGCAACCTGATGGAATTGGAGATCATTATTCTAAGTGAAGTAACTTATGAATGGAAAAATAAACATCATATCTTCTCACTTGTATGTGGGAGTTAAGCTATGAGGATGCAAAGACATAAGAATGACATAATGGACTCTGGAGACTTGGGGTGAAGGGTTGGAGGGAGTGAGGAATAAAATACTACACATTGGGTGCAATGTACACTAATCAGGTGATGGGTGCACCAAAATATCAGAAACCTCACCTAAATAACTTATCCATGTAACTAAATACCACCTGTTCCTCAAAACTAGTGAAATAATAATAATAAATTTTGAAAAGTAATCAAAGAAGACACAAATAAATGGAAAGCTATCCTGTGTTCATAAAGTAGAAGAATTAATACTGTTAAAATGTCCATACTACACAAAGTAATATCTAGATTTAATGCAATTTCTATCAAGACAATTATGACATTCTTCACAGAAATAAATTTGTGCATTTAGAGCAAACAAATTTTTCACAAAGGTGCCAGAAACACAAAATGGGGAAAGGGGGCTTTTTAATGTATAGTGACATAAAAACCAGATATCCACCTGCAAAATTAGATTCTTATCTCTCACCATATACAGAAAGCATCTCAAGATGGATTAAACACTTAAATGTAAGACCCAAAACTACTAACTGAAACCATGAATCTTCTAGAATTTAACATTGAGAAAAATCTCCATGACATTGGTCTGGAGAATGATTTTTTAGATAAAATCTCAAAAGCACAGATAGCAAAAACAAAAACAGTCAAATGGAATTGCATCAAACTAAAAAGCTCCAGCACAGCAAAGGAAACAATCAACAGAGTGAAGAGACAACCTACAGAATAGGAGAAAATATTTGCAATCTATACATATAAGGGATTAATATTTAAAATATATAAGGAACTCAAACAACTCAGTAACAAGAAAACCTGATTAACAAATAGAAGGACTGAATAGACATTTCTCAACAGAAGACATACAAATGTCCAACAAGTATATGAAAAAATACTCAAGAAAACTAATCATCAGTAAAATGCAAATCAAAACCACAATAAGATGTCACCTCACTCCCATTAGAATGGCTATGCCACATTTTGGCTGTTTGCGCCTTCTGAAATTCGTATTGAAATTTCACACTAATTTTAACAGTATTAAGAGGGTGGGAAATCTGACTATGGTGTTTGGGTGGAGCATTAGTGGGTTTATAAGTGGAGAAAGTGACACCTGAGCTAGCATGGTTAGCCCTCTTGTCATATGATTTCCTGCACCATCAGGGACTCTGCAGAGTTCCCCCTGGCAAGAATGTTCTCACCAGATGCAGCCTGTCAATCTTGGACTTCCCAGCCTCCAGAATCATGAGGTAAAGAAACCTTTATTTTTTATAAATTTCTTTTCTCAAATATTTAGTTATAGCAACATCAAGCAAATGAAGACAAGCTATTGTCAAAAAGACAAAAGATAACAAGTGTTGGCAAGCATGTAAGGAAAAAGAAACTCTTGCACACTGTTAGTGGAAATATAAATTAGTACAACCATTATGGAAAATTTTATGGAGGTTCCTAAAAATGTTAAAAAAAGAGCTACTATATGATGTTACTACTGGTTATATATCAAAACAAAATGAAATCAGTATGTACAAAAGGTATTTTCACTCCCATGTTTATTGCAGCATTATTTACAGTAGCCAAGATATGGAATCAACCCAACTGTCCATCAACAGATAAATGAATAAGGAAAATATGGTATATACACAGTGGAATACTATTCATTCATTGAAAAGAAGGAAATCCTGCCATTTGCATCAACATGGATGAACCTGGAGGATATTAAGTGAAACAAGCCAGGCACAGGAAGACAAATACCACATGCTTTCACTCATATATGTGGTGAGTAGAATGGTGGTTCCTAGAGGCTGGAGTGATTAAGCGGGAGAGGGGATGGGAGGATATTGGTCAAAGAATACATAATTACAATTAGGGGGAATAAGTTTAAGAGATCTATTTGTAGCATGATTGCTATAGTTAATGAAGATATACTGTATTCTTAAAAAATGCAAAGAGTGAGTGTTAAGTGTTCTCACCACACAAATGCTATGTGAGGTAACAGATGTATATGGACTTCAAAATATCATGTCATAGATGATAAATATGTAAAATTTTATGTCAATTAGATATATAATGAAAAATTAAAATACATTGTGGTTATGATTGCATAACTCTGTGAATGTACTAAAATCTATCGAGTTGTGTATTTTAAATAAGTGAAATAGGGGCCAGGTGCAGTGGCTCACACCTGTCATCCCAGCACTTTGGGAGGCTGAGGCAGGCAGATCACTTGAACTCAGGAGTTCAAGACCAGCCTGGGTAGCATGGTGAAACCCTGTCTCTACAAAAAATAAAAAAATTAAAAATTAAAAAAAAAATAACTGGGCTTGGTGGTGAATGCCTGTGGTCCCAGCTACTTGGGAGGCTGAGTTAGGAGGGTTGCTTTAGCACAGGAAGTTGAGGCTGCAGTGAGACCAGATCATGCCACCGTACTCCAGCCTGGGTGACAAAGTGAGACCCTGTCTAAAAAATAAAAATAAAGTCCGGGCGCGGTGGCTCACGCCTGTAATCCCAGCACTTTGGAAGGCCGAGGCGGGCAGATCACGAGGTCAGGAGATCGAGACCATCCTGGCTAACACCGTGAAACCCTGTCTCTACTAAAAACACAAAAAATTAGCCGGGCGTGGTGGTGGGCGCCTGTATTCCTAGCTATTCGGGAGGCTGACGCTGGAAAATGGCGTGAACCCAGGAGGCGGAGCTTGCAGTGAGCCGAGATCGTGCCACTGGACTCCGGCCTGGGCGACGGAGCGAGACTCCGTCTCAAAAATAAATAAATAAATAAGTAAATAAAATAAAAAATAAAAAAGTTAAGTATATGATACTGAATTATATCTCAATAAAAATTCAAAAACTAGTAAATAGCTAAATATTTATATAAGGAATATATTTGCTGAAGTATATGAGCGGAAGTGATGGAAACAGAATATAGCAAAACCTTTGAAGGGGAGGATATTTTTACTAACTTTTTTTTTTTTTTTTTGAGACGGAGTCTCACTCAGTCGCCCAGGCTGGAGTGCAGTGGCACAATCTCGGCTCACTGCAAGCTCCACCTCCCAGGTTCACGCCATTCTCCTGCCTCAGCCTCCCGAGTAGCTGGGACTGCAGGCACCCGCCACTACGCCCGGCTAATTTTTTTGCATTTTTAGTAGAGATGGGGTTTCACTGTGTTAGCCAGGATGGTCTCGATCTCCTGACCTCGTGATCCGCCCGTCTCGGCCTCCCAAAGTGCTGGGATTACAGGCGTGAGCCACCGCGCCCGGCCTAGCTTTTTTTTTAAATGGAGTCTCGCTCTGTCGCACAGCTGGAGTGCAGTGGCACAATCTCGGCTCCACCTCCCAGGTTCAAGTGATTCTCCTGCCTCATCCTCCTGAGCAGCTGGGATTACAGGAGCATGCCACCACGCCTGGGTACTTTTTGTATTTTTAGTAGAGACGGGGTTTCACTGTGTTCAGGCTAGTCTTGAACTCCTGACCTCAAGTAATCCACCTGCCTCGGCCTGCCAAAGTGCTGGGATTACAGGCGTGAGCCACTGCACTTGGCCTTTTACTAGCTTTAACACACTAAATAATGAGTAGCTTTGGAAACTAAACATACTCTCTTTAAAGTATTGGCAAAATTAAGTTTAATAATTAAAGGTGTTAATATTACCCTGTCATTTTCCATTCTCTAGAACCTATCTTCTTGTAGTTCTTTTCTAGTTTGTTCCAACAGTATAAATATATGCGACCAGACATATGTGGTCACAATTGTAGAATATATGCTGCAAAGACGAATCATTACAACTCTCCTCTCTCCAAAGAAAACAGTTTCATTTTGGGGCATGTTTGTTAATTAGCCCTACTGAAAGGAGATTCTACTTCAGTCTTTTATTGCTGTAGTGACTTATAACAAAGTGTACTAAGAGACGGAGTCTCTCTCTGTCGCCCAGGCTGGAGTGCCCTGGCACGATCTTGGCTCACTGCAACCTCCGCCTCCCGGGTTCAAGCGATTCTCCTGCCTCAGCCTCCTGAGTAGCTGGGATTACAGGTGCCTGCCACCATGTCCGGCTAATTTTATATTTTTTAATAGAGATGGAGTTTCGCCATGTTGGCAAGGCTGGTGTTGAACTCTTGACCTTAGGTGATCCACTCACCTCGGCCTCCCAAAGTGCTAGGGATTATAAGCGTGAGCCACCGCTCTCTGCCTGAAGTTTTTTTTTAAAATAATATTTTAACTACTTTTTGTAGTATAACCCTTCTTTCTCTAGATTCACCATATTTAGTTACCCTCTAGCATTTACTACCTGTGGTTATATTTATTAAACCTAACAATAAATAAAGCAGAATCTTTTAAAACCAATAAACTGCTTTGTAGACATTGGCATTACTACTACCCTATCTAACAAATTAAAAGATTGAGGACACTCAAATGCCATATGGGCATAGAGTAGCACCAGTGTAGAGCGATTATCCATAGCTAGGTTATGTTCCTGAAATGGCTCTGCTTCCACCCAAAGCCTCCAGGATATTTCTACAGGCATAGTAAAACATAGGGAGCAAGGCTGCAATCATGGCAAAAGTCTATGGAAAATTTGTATGCTTTGTGGTTTAGTTTACAAACTCATTCTCTTTTTTCAGCCGTTCCAAACCTTTATGCTTTTGAGATTATGGGACCCCCTTTTATTTATGTTTATGTTCCCATATTTATTCAATAAGTAAGACAGAGGCTTCAGTTCCATCAGGATCCTTCAGATAACTAAAGTAAACCTAAATATGAAGTGGACCTTTCCTCTCCCTGCCCTCTCTGGCAGAAGTAAGCCATAGTGACTTTCTTAAACATAATCCACCAACTGATCACCCTCCAGTGATATACACTGGGTTAATTTCACTCAGAGAGTGTTCTGTCCCCAAATGACTTTGCCATGTTTACCTTTTACTTAATTCCTTTTGTACACCAGAAGACTGGTGTACTAAGAGATTGTGTCTACCTAATTAACTTTACAATTATGAAAACCAGTCAGTTTCAAAGCTGGAATACTCAGTGAGGTATGCTCTCATGTTTACCTTCTCTAAATATGAAAGTTTTAGATAAATAGATTAAAGTAATGCTATTTATGCCAATTGTCTTCATCTATAAGACAGTGGGATTGGAAGGATACTTAGTATTCTGGGTTTTTTACATGGGCCTGCAATCTTCTCCTTTACATGTCTTTCATTGCTACTTCGAAAGGTAATGACATATACATAATTTAAAGCTTGATTTTTGACATCATTTTTCTACAGGAGCATTGTACCCTGGAATGCCAGTTCCTTGATGAAGAGATTGGATTTTTTTGACTGAATTCTATATACTTCTCCAAGTACCTGGTATTTAGCGGCCTCTCAGCTATTACTAATACTTGTTTGGTCCTGGAGATGTTTAATAATTACCTGTTGCTTTATCTTGAGGATAGCAGTCAAGTAGAATGAAGACTGCTGAGGTGAAAAACAGACACACAAAAGCCTAAATAGCCGAGAGTCCTCAGTTCACTGGAGGCTCCAGATATCTTCACAATTGTAAAGACAGAAACAAAAAATTTGAAAAATACCAAAAGGAAAAATAAGTGCAAACCAAAACAGGGAATGACAAAGGAAGCCATCTGAAGATGCCTTCATCATCTGAACATTTCTCAGTTGCTATTTTACTTTTTGAAAGTAGACTGTTATTTAAGAGTCAATTGCATTTATCTGTGCCTCATCTCCCCTATTTATTATGCCTCCTCAAGGCATTGGACAATGTTAACCACATTCCTTTTAACTCCCCAGAACATTGAGTCTTATGCATCAAGTGAGAGCAATTTATAAGCCCTTCGTTATGTTTTCCCGGAAACTAGATGAAAGTGTTTTAAGTAAGGAGAAATCACTTAAAATGGTAAGCTTGTCTATTTCTCTGCATGGTTGAGGACGTCCAGCTGCTCTGGGCTGCAGTTTGTGTCCTGCCATCCCTGCAAAACTTCTGCCTGATATCTGCCTTCACCACCACCCAACCCAAAGCAACTCTGATTCTGGCAAGCTGACCTCTCTTTTTTCAGGGCAATTTATCTCTCCCTGTGCCCTGGGAGAGGCCAGACAACAGTCCTGAGAGACGCTGCCAGCAAGTTGTTTATGCCAGGAGAGTGTTGCCCTACCCGTGGCCTCACTGCAGAGCCCTCTATGGAGAGGGGATGTATCTGATTCTGATGTTCTTTTACAAATCAAATTTCTGCATTTTAATTTTTGTACCTCTTCTCAGACGCTGCATTGTATGATAGAATATTTATTTTATTATTAAAAATGGTGAATTAACTAGCACATTGCTTTTTCTATCTTAATAACGACTATCTTAATTCTGTAAAATTATAATGTAAGTCTTGAGTAAAGTAGTCATTGCAGTATTTTATAATCCTAGTCATATACCAGAGCTTTCTCAAGGGGAAAAGTATTATAGTTATCTCTTCAATATTTGCTTATGTGAAACAGTTATTAACACCGTTTATAGCTAACCCTGTCTGTAGTGACTGTTTTGAGAACCCTAAATCTCTAATTTAAAGGCCCAAGATTTTATCAGTTTGTATGGAACCTGTGTTTGCTCCTCAGTCCTGGTTTCCTAATAAACTTATGAAGATATTTGTGATGGATTTCTGAAGATTTCGAGTACATGTGAGGGGATTCAGTACAAATTACAGGGATTCAACACATTGACAGCAGGAAAAATGTAATGAATTGTTAGGTGGGGAATGATGTAAAGTGAAGTAATCTGAATAAAAGCCTATATTATATTTGTTAGCTGACTTAGTTTATCTTTGTTGTCACTGAGGAAGCATAATTTTTTATCTTCAGTAATAGTGTAAGTTATTGTACAAAGCCTAAAAATTAGTATTCTCTTTGTAAACAAAAGAGTATCTGAGACAAGTCTCAATCATTTTAGAAGTTTATTTTGCCAAAATTAAGGACACGCCCGTGACAAAGCCTCAGGAGGTCCTGAAAATATGGGCACAAGGTGGTTGAGCTACAACTGGTTTTATACATTTTAGGGAGACATAAAACATCAATACACATAACCTGTGCATTGGTTCTTTCTGAAAAGGCAGGACAACTAAAAGTGGGGGCTTCCAGGTCATAGACAGATTCAAAGATTTTCTGATTGGCAATTGGTTGAAAGAGTTATTACCTAAAGACCTGGAATAAATAGAAAGGAATCTGGGTTATAATAAGGGGTTGTGGAGACCAAGGTTTTATCATGTAGATTAAGCCCCCAGGTAGCAGGCTTCAGAGAAAATAGATAGTAAATGTTTCTTATTAGACTTAAAGAGGCTGTTCTATCAGTATTTTTTTTTTTTTTTTGAGACTGAGTTTCGCTCTTATTGCCCAGGTGGGAGTGCAATGGCATGGTCTCAGCTCACTGCAACCTGTGCCTCCCAGGTTGAAGCAATTCTCCTGCCTCAGCCTCCCAAGTAGCTGGGATTACAATAGGCACATGCCACCATGCCCAGCTAATTTTTGTATTTTTAGTAGTGACAGGGTTTCACCATGTTGGCCAGGCTGGTCTTGAACTCCTGACCTCAGGTGATCCACCCACCTTGGCCTCCCAAAGTGCTGGGATTACAGGCATGAGCCACTGCACTCAGCCTTGTTCTATCAGTTTAAAGTGTCTGTGTTGATGTGAATGCTGATCAGCTGTGAGGCATGTCTGACACTTCTCCCTCACTTTTCATTATGGCTGAAACTAGTTTTTCAGGTTAACTTTGGAATGCTCTTAACCAAGAAGTGGTTCTGTTCAGATGGTTGAGGGGCTTAGAATTTTATTTTTGGTTGATATTCTCCCCCTTCTGGCCAAGATTTGCCAGAAGCGACACTGATGGCCACCAAACCTCTATTTTGTTCCATAGTATTACTAAGGTGGCATGGCTGCCTGGCCCAGGTCCATCTTCTCCCTCAGTGGGACCCCTAGGGCCAAGGCACTTAGAGCCAAAATATTTACAGCCAATTTAAATGTTCTAGGCCAAACAGGAATGGACATCAACAGGCATTTATTAACCCTTAAAATTTTGTATATAATATAAAAGTCACCAAACAAAAAGCCAAAGGTGAGGTTACAAAACTGACTTACCTACTTTTAACTTCTATATGGCGAGCTACTGTGATCTTCGTTTTAGTTACAGGCATATAACAATTAGCTATACAATACATAAGCCTTGTTAAAACCTTTTCGGCTAAGGAGTTTAGAGACTAGTTGTGCCATAATGCTTTTTGCCCTCTTTTAGCAATTTGTCCTAAGGTGCTGATAAATTTTTAAGTATATATCTATCTGCATAAATATCATAACTGGAACTATTATACCCAGGAGGCTTCATGACGGATATCTTTATATCCTCTCAGTAATAATTTTCTTTTAATTCTACAGAAAGCAGAAAATTCTTTATGGTTGTGATGGATGAAATGGTACCATGCATGTAATTATCCAGAAGGAAAAGTCCCTTATTTTGCCAGCTGTTTAGGCATCCATATACCCATCCTTGATTTGCAGGGTCTGAACTAATTCTATTCCTCAAAACTGGCCCTTATAATCTCATACACCCACTTCTTCTGTGATAGTCCCTGGGCCTAGAGGAAAGTTGCTTGTATAGGTTTAGCAGCAGGACATTTGCAACGAAAAACTGACTGGACCCAGTGGGATTCAAAATGACAAAGATTTGCAGGCTTTTTCAAATCATCTCTAGTCTTCTGAATACATGATTCTGATTTTCTCAGAATAAGTAAAACTACAAGAGATAAATAACAACAGTTTGACAATAGAAAGAGAATGTGCGTGTCAGAACAGAAAAAGGAACCTATTCCATTAGGGTGCCAACTAAAGACATGAAGAAAATTATAACCTGATACTCTTTAGAATATTATTGTAGCCCAGAAATAATTCATGATTCAATTTTCACTAAAAAACATAAGTCAAGGCTGTAGTCAAGTAAAAGGTGTTATAGTTTTCCTTTCAAACAATTTCTCTCCTCTAGTACTCCTTTTCTACTAAGGAGAAATTACAGTAAGACCAATTTGTGTGTGAAGTAAGTTTTAGGCTTATTATACTTGGCCTGATTATTTACATAAAGGGCAGCAAGAATTGTTTGACCATATAGGCTCTTTTCAAGTTGGCTTTGCTGAACTTTACCTAAAAATATGTTATTCTAGTCAAAGCCTTGGAAAAATAACCAGTGTCTCCAACTGCCTTATTTTTTTTTTAAAGACTCTTAGTAAACTTATGCAAATAACTATATTGTTATAAAATCAGACTATGCATGAACAGTTTCCAAATTTTGGAGACCTCAGATAGAGAGAAAGGTAAATTTGCTCACAAAAACATACTTTACCCAATTGCTCTAAACTATAAATAACTAATAAATACATAAATAAATAAATAAAACTATTTTCATGACTCTCTTTAACCAAATCAGCAGGCTTTCAAACAAAATGTTGTTTGTTCACCTTGGAAC
Source organism: Homo sapiens (assembly GCF_000001405.40). Classification (NCBI taxonomy): domain Eukaryota; kingdom Metazoa; phylum Chordata; class Mammalia; order Primates; family Hominidae; genus Homo; species Homo sapiens. The sequence continues at coordinate 80,849,831 of NC_000023.11, forward strand.
TGCCATTCACAAGCCAAGCAGCTCTTGTCAGATGAGAGCTGTTTATCTGGCACTGAAAAATCTAGCAGCTCTTCACACTGTTAGAGCCAGTCCTAAGGGAAAAAGAGGTTCCCTGCTAATGAATATCTCCTCCTTGCATCCCCAGATAGCATGATCCTATAAAAACCACATTCATTTTATCATGGAAATCTTTGGGGCACTATTGTTTTCATTAGCATAGGGGTAGCTTTAGTTAGCATTCCATAGCAAGGCAGTAAATGTACCTTAAGTGGAAATTCTCTAGTCCAAACTTCCAGTAGTTGTCACTGGAAAGTGCTCACAGGCATTTGCCATAAGCCCCAATAAACACTCCACAGAGAGCTATCAAATGAAGGATTTGTCCTGACCAGCACTCTAGCTTCCACCCTATATTCTGTAGGCTCAGGCAATCTTACTAGTTCCCATTTAGTGTGTCCAATGAACATTTCTCAAAGGTCAGATTTACATGCCTTCAGTTTTATAGTACTAGATAGGGAAAACATCCCCTAGTGAGATACAATTCCCATTTTCATAGGAAATTTAGGTAAAGGAGTCACAACTACCTTACAGAAAGCCTGTTTAAACATCTCAGATTTCATAATCCTATCAATCTTTACATTTTTATGTTCTGGTCCCAGGAACTTTTCTTCTCTACTACCAGACCATTTTACCATTTCTGGTGGAAAAGGATTTGGGTTCCCAGAATGGAGTTGAGCCAAGATACTCAAGCCGTTTTGTCAATCTTTACCTTAACACACCTCGACATTGCCCCAGGTAATGTTAGCTTGCTCATTATACCTTTTCCCTTTTGTTTTCTTAAATTCCTCCAACCTGGGACAACCGTAGGAAAGTGATGTGGGAACTTTTAATGTAGGGGGACCCAGCAGGGGCTTCGTTTCACCCAACCTTTGATAGTGTTGTAAAGACGTTTGCTTTAACTCCATCAATTTTCATTTCATTTCATTTCTTAATAAACATTTAATGATTTTCACCATTCTGGGATGAGTCCTTTGACTCCCTTTTGCCTTTCCCTTTTTTGTTGTTGTTAATTACTGTAATGTTCTATTAGCATCTGTAAGACCCGTGAAGGACAGCAAATTTGATAGGGCTTCTCAAACAGTTGTTTGATTCTGCAGGAGTAATGTCATCCAGGGTGCCCATATAGAAGGGGCCCCCTTAACCACAACTTTTACCATGACCTGGATAATAGGCATATACAGTGGAGACATATCTTGGTTATCATAAAGCCAGTCCTACATGGCTTGCACATAAGGAATATCAGCTGCTTCATCTGGGATGCTCCACTTGGTATTTTATAGAGAGAGTTGGGAAATCCCCTTCTCAGGGTAAAGAGACCTTACAGTGGCATTCATCCATTCCACTGGGCTGCTTGTTCTCTCACAAATAAACTGCTCTTCATCTGGATCACATATAACCATCAGTGATTGTCTAATAGTAAGCTATGGGTTCTGTAACAACCCAAACATGCTCTTTCATTCTGTAGCATTTAAAATATAAGATACTGCCCTTAAAGTAGTTATTTTTACATTCTGTTATAGTAAAGGGTTCTCAGGAAGTGGATGACACAAATCTACAAAATGGAACAATTTCTTTACATTATACTCTATGGTTGGTTTTGCCCTTCCCTCACATTGACTATCTTCTTGGTAACCACAGATTTTAGAGTTAGTTTCTGTTGCCCTGCGTAATTCTGCCCTTGGGGTGCAGCTTTCAGGCTGGTGGCATAAACTCAGATTGACTTAAATCTGAGCTCTGTCTAGCATCAAGGTCCAACTCAGCACTATTCTTTTTTTTTTTTTTTAAGACAGAGTTTCGCTCTTGTTGCCCAGGCTGGAGTGCAGTGGTGCAATCTCAGCTTTCTGCAACCTCAGCCCCCTGGGTTCAAGCGATTCTCCTTCCTCAGCCTCCCAAGTAGCTGGGGTTACAGGCATGCACCACTACGCCCGGCTAGTTTTGTATTTTTTGTAGAGACGGCGTTTCTCCATGTTGGTCAGGCTGGTCTCAAACTCCTGACCTCAGGTGATCCGCCCACCTCAGCCTCCCAAAGTGCTGGGATTACAGGCATGAGCCACTCCACCTAGCCTCAGCATTATTCTTTAATTTCATTTTACGTTGTACAGGTAACAATAACCGAGGAATCAAAGGTTTCTAATTTCCCACCTTTTAATTTTCTCTTTATTCATTTAGTTTTGTCTGTATGAGTGTATATATATGTATACATATGTGTGTGTATATATATGTATATATAAGTGTGTATATGTATGTATATATATGTATGTGTATATGTATGTATATATATGTATGTGTATTTATTTATTTATTTGTTTATTTATTTTGAGATGGAGTGTCACTCTGTCTCCCAGGCTGGAGTGCAGTGGCACGATCTTGGCTCACTGCAACCTCCATATCCCGGATTCAAGCGATTCTCTTACCTCAGCCTTACAACTAGCTGGGATTACAGATGCATGCCACCAAACCCGGTTAATTTTTGTATTTTTAGTAGAGACGGGCTTTCGCCATGTTGGGCAGGCTGGTCTTGAACTTCTGACCTCAGGTGATACGCCCGCCTTGGCCTCCCAAAGTGCTGGGATTACAAGTGTGAGCCACAGCGCCCAGCTGTCTGTATATTTTTAGAAGTTTAGAATCGCCTCTAAACTAGAAAAATAAACCCTAGCCTCTAAACTAGCAAAAACCACATTCTTGTGTTTTATAAACTTCACCAAAATTACTTTTTACTCTCCTATTTTATCTCTTAGTAAACCAGATTCCCAGTGCAAAAAATTGAGGATTACTTAATTTAACATAACATGACTTAAAGATTTTAAACTACTGGAGAGAATTTTAAGATTAAATTTACCAAATTAATCTTACCAAATATTACTAAAGTCATGTGAACTAAAAGGCATCAGGGCTAGTTTTTATTAGTCTGATAAGCACTTACTTTTCTTTAAGCCAATTGATTAAAGCTCTTTCATATGGTTTGGTAGTGAAATATCACTTTCACATGATACATATAAAACATACAGACATAACAGACGTATAGACAAAGGCAGATCTTATAACATTTTTTATATCCCTGTTTTCAAAAATTCCCTCCCTTACTTTAGACTATTAATTAAAAAAAAAAAAAGCATTACAGGAGCCAATAGAAGTTGAAGGAGTGATTTACCATCCCAGGCCTTCTCAAAAGGGAGAGCTGAAGCAGCAAGGTACAGCAGAAGTTGAACTTCTAAGATATCAATCTAAAGAATTTAGAAAAATAACAAATTAAAGAATTTTGAAATTAAAAACATCTTTCATTAAAATTAAGTCAGGCCAGGTGTGGGCTCACACGTAATCCCGGCACACAAGCAAATATCATTCTGTTTGGGGTATGTTTATGGTTTTATAACCCTTATGCCAAATTTTGATACTGAATAGTATTTGGCAAGCATAAGTATGAAACTGCTTCATCAATAAATACAGCCAAAAATGTTGACAATTCTTAAGACATTTCTAATATTACTTTACCAATAATATTATATTTGGCTTATTTATAGAAAATTTTACTTAAGTCACATGAACTTGAAAAGCATTTGGGATTACTACTTACTTAATTTATGAATACTCCTTAACTTTAATCCAATTTGGTACCTTGTGGCCACAACACATAACAAAATACATGCATGTATACATAAACACACACATACACACTCATACAAGGATCTCATAGATTTTACTTCAGAACTATAGCCATTATATGTTAATACAAACTCATTGCTTTGCAAAAACAAAAAATAAACAAAAAGAAAACAGTTGGATCCAAACAGTGGTTTTTACCTCAGTAGAAAACTAACAACAGATTTATAGCAGGCAGAAAAAAAAAAAAAACAGAGAAATAGAGAACTTAGGAACTCTATAGTTGCAGGTTGACCTTTGGGCTTTGAATTTTTCCTGGATGTAATTTGCTCATCAGTTTAAAATGTGTACAGCAGACCATAATATGTAACCAAGTGGAGTACTAAAAAACCTGGAATGCCCTCAAACTTTTCCATTTTACCCACACACTTGCAAGTAGAGGCACCATAAAACCAATGGGTTATCAAAAAGAGGATCATTCTCCTTCTCTTTCTTCATTTTTATGTATTTATGTATGTATTAATTTTGAGGTGGAGTCTTGCTCTGTCACCCAGGCTGGAGTGCAGTGGCATGATCTGGGCTCACTGCAGCCTCTGCCTTTTGGGCTCAAGTGATTCTCCTTCCTCAGCCTCCTGAGTAGCTGGGACTCCAAGCATGCACCACCACGCCCGGCTAATTTTTGTATATTTAGTAGAAATGGGGTTTCACCATGTTGGCCAGGATTGTCTCGAACTCCTGACCTCAAGTGATCCGCCTGCCTCAGCCTTCCAAAGTGTTGGGATTACAGGTGTGAGCCACCATGCCCAGCCTCTTTCTTCATTCTTAGATTGTTTCTCACCTCTTTTTCTAAAAAAGAGGACCTGAGCTGTGGCCTAAGGGTGTGTGTGTGTGTGTGTGTCTGTGTGTGTTTGTGTGTATTAATGTGTTCTGATTGTGAGTGGGACTCCACAGTGTTTCACCACTGAGTCATTTCTGCCCTCTTACATGACTCAGTTTCTCTCACCAGAGTTCTACCACCTCCAAGAGTGCTCAAAATGCCTAGTGATCAGCTCTTATATGCATTTTCTGGACAAGGCCTTTTCAAACCAATTTTGTTGGTTCCTTGTAGGGTCACTTCACATCGTTGGGGGGTCAACCCTCAGACACTCCCACTCAGCCCCCAGTCACCCAGGGGTGCCTTTTGGCTGGGAGGGGCTAAATCCCCTTTCTTTTTGAAGCCAAGTAGCTCAGTCTCCCATTTGTCTATGCAAATTACAGTTCAGTTCCTCATGCAAATGTGCAGACAAACCAACTGACCTTAATTTTGGGAGGAAAAAACAATGGAGAAGACTCTTTGAAATGCACCTCTGAACTAGAAACCAAATGGGATACCCAAAAGGGGGATGACTCTCTTTGTCTTTAGAAAAAGGCAATGGAGAAGACCTTTTAGAATGCACCTTCAAACTAGAATTAGGATGCTAAACAACAACTTACCAGGGGAAAATACTCAGCACAGACCCCTTCCTGAAAACCACCTTCAGCCATCCCCTAACTTTGTAGCTCTCACCTGCCATTACACACACCAAGGTCAAATTCTCTCGTAGTACAAGATAATCTCTGATACCCCCCAAACACAAAGAGGTCAGTTAATGCAATACAAGACTTAAGAATCTACTCATGACTCTTGCAACTCCACAAAGAAAGCTGAACACCACAAAAGGGGCATGAATGGCACCTTTATTCTGAGTTTTTTAAGGTGTCTGAGTCATTAGAAGCCCTCTCTAAATTTTTCACTTTGTCCTGAAGATGGCAAAATTGGAGGGAGGAATAGGGTGGAAGAAAAGTACTTGAAAGAACAATTTTTTTTAAGAAAGGAAGTGAATGGAGAAACCAAGTACATGTTTTGTTTTTGTTTTTATCCTACAGCTGTGAGGAATTTTAGCCAGTTCAGAAGACTTATTCCCCATAATTTGGAATTCTCATTTAGATTTGACCAAGATGGGTAGAGTTGACCAAATCCAATGGGAGAATAACCAAAACAAACAATGTGATTACTGAGTACTCTAATGGTAAGAAGTTAAAACCAGTTGGTTGTCACTTTTAACATTTAGTCATTAAGGAGAACTTTCAAGACAGAAAAACTGAACTAAGCTACTTATCTAGGAATGGGGCCCATGCATAAGACTGCTCTCTACTATTTTAGAAGCAGAAAAAACCTCAAACTCATCTTCCCTGTTGGAGGCAAGCTGAAACTCCAGAGGGAGTTGCCTGCTTTCCATTGTTATGGAATCAGGAAAACTCACCTTCCTTGTTGGAAAAAAGTACAACTCCAGAAAAGGAGTCATACAAAGTCTCAGATTTTAACAAAATTTTGGGAGACCAGAGATTCTCTGTAGGAGGGCCTCCAAGGCCAGTAGATTTTTCTATTGGTTTGAGCAATAATGATAGCTCAAACTGTTACCAAGCACGGATAGATTTGACAAAGGTCAGGGGAACCTCTACTCAGAGTTCCTTCATGGTTACCAATTGTTAAATTAAGAGTATCTGAGACAAGTCTCCATCAATTTAGAAGTTTATTTTGCCAAAGTTAAGGACATGCTCATGATACAGCCTCAGGAGGTCCTGACGACATGTGCACAAGGTGGTTGGGCTACAACTGGTTTTACACAATCTAGGGAGACATAAAACATCAATCAATACATGTAAAATGTACATTGGTTTTGTCTGGAAACGTGGGACAACTGGAAGTCTGGGCTTTCAGGTGACAGGTGGATTAAAAGATTGTCTGATTGGCAATTGGTTGAAAGAGTTATTATATAAACACCTGGAATCAACAGAAAGGAGTGTCTGCATTATAATAAGGGGTTGTGGAGACCAAGGTTTTATCATGTAGATGAAGCCCCCAGGTAGCACACTTCATGGAAAATAGATAGTAAATTTGTTTGATTAGACTTAAAGAGTCTGTTCTATCATTCTTAAGGTCTTTTGTTGATGTGCACGCTGGTCAGCTGTGAGGCATGTCTTACACACCTCCCTCACTTCCCATCATGACCAAAACCAGTTTATCAGGTTAATTTTGGAATGCCTTCAACCAAGAAGAGGGGTCTGTTTAGATAGTTGGGGGGCTTAGAACTTTATTTTTGGTTTACGCTTTTTATTTTATTTTTTAATTTGTTTGAGTACATAGTAGGTATACATATATATTTATGGGGTACATGAGATGTTTTCATATAGGCATTAAATGTAAAATAAGCACAGCATGAAGAATGGGGCATCCATTTTCTCAAGCACTTATCTTTTGAGTTATAAACAATCCAATTACATTCATTAAGTTACTTTAAACTGTACAATTAACTTATTATTGACTATAGTCACCCTGTTGTGTTATCAAATAGTAGGTTTTATCCATTTTTTTCTATTTTTTCTTTTAGACAAACAGTTTTATTTGAAAAACAGAAACAGCTGAGTCTCCCCCTTTCCACAGACCTGGCAGTGTTGGGCTCAGGTGTGGGAGGACCAGTTTCCTGCAGAGAGAAGACAGTTAGGGGTTGGAGGCCAGACCCAGGGGCTAGACCATGTGAGTGGCCACAATGGGGCAGAGGCCACAGTGCCCATCAGGGCCTGGGTTTCACAGCTGCACATGGGGCAGTGCACATTGAGCTGAGGCCCCTGGAGGCTCTGGGTGCCAAATCTCTCCCATGGCCATGGCCAAAGCCAGGGGTGATATTCAACCAATGCCAGTGACCCCAACCACTAGTGGGATGTGTGTGGCCAACACTGCTGGACCTACCCAGACAGAGAGACCATTCTTTTATGTTTATCTTTTGGTACTCATTAACAATTCTCACCCCCTGCTAGCCCCCCACTACACTTCCCAGCCTCTGGTAACCATTCTTCTACTCTGTATGTCCATGAAATCTATTTTTTTTAACTTTTAGATCCCACAAATAAGTAAGAACATGTGAAGTTTGTCTTTATGCACCTGGCTTATTTCATTAACATAATCATATTCAGTTTCATCCATGCTGTTACAAATGACAGGATCTCTTTTTTTTTTTATTATACTTTAAGTTCTAGGGTACATGTGCACAACATGCAGGTTTGTTACATATGTATACATGTGCCATGTTGGTTGGCTGTACCCATTCACTCGTCATTTAACATTAGGTGTATCTCCTAATGCTATCCTTCCCCCCTCCCCCCACCCCACGACAGGCCCCGGTGTGTGATGTTCCCCTTCCTGTGTCCAAGCATTCTTATAGTTCAATTCCCATCTATGAGTGAGAACATGTGGTGTTTGGTTTTTTTTGTCCTTGTGATAGGTTGCTGAGAATGATGGCTTCTAGCTTCATCCATGTCCCTACAAAGGACATGAACTCATCCTTTTTTATGGCTGCATAGTATTCCATGGTGTATATGTGCCACATTTTCTTAATCCACTCTATCACTGATGGACATTTGGGTTGGTTCCAAGTGTTTGCTATTGTGAATACTGCCACAATAAACATACATGTGCATGTGTCTTTATAGCAGCATGATTTATAGTCCTTTGGGTATATACCCAGTAATGGGATGGCTGGGTCAAATGGTCATTCTAGTTCTAGATCCTTGAGGAATCACCACACTGTCTTCCACAATGGTTGAACTAGTTTACATTCCCACCAACAGTGTAAAAGTGTTCCTATTTCTCCATATCCTCTCCAGCACCTGTTGTTTCCTGACTTTTTAATGATCGCCATTCTAACTGGTGTGAGATGGTATCTCATTGTGGTTTTGATTTGCATTTCTCTGATGGCCAGTGATGATGAGCAGTTTTTCATGTGTCTCTTGGCTGCATAAATGTCTTCTTTTGAGAAGTGTCTGTTCGTATCCTTCACCCACTTTTTGATGGAGTTTTTTGTTTTTTTTCTTGTAAATTTGTTTGAGTTCTTTGTAGATTCTGGATATTAGCCCTTTGTCAGATGAGTAGATTGCAAAAATTTTCTCCTATTCTGTAGGTTGCCTGTTCACTCTGATGGTAGTTTCTTTTGCTGTGCAGAAGCTCTTTAGTTTAATTAGATCCCATTTGTCAATTTTGGCTTTTGTTGCCATTGCTTTTGGTGTTTTAGTCATGAAGTCCTTGCCCATGCCTATGTTCTGAATGGTATTGCCTAGGTTTTCTTCTAGGGTTTTTATGGTTTTAGGTCTAACATGTAAGTCTTTAATGCATCTTCAATTAATTTTTGTATAAGGTGTAAGGAAGGGACCCAGTTTCAGCTTTCTACATATGGCTAGCCAGTTTTCCCAGCACCATTTATTAATAGGGAATCCTTTCCCCATTTCTTGTTTTTGTCAGGTTTGTCAAAGATCAGATGGTTGTAGATGTGTGGTAGTATTTCTGAGGGCTCTGTTCTGTTCCATTGGTCTATATCTCTGTTTTGGTACCAGTACCATGCTGTTTTGGTTACTGTAGCCTTGTAGTATAGTTTGAAGTCAGGTAGTGTGATGCCTCCAGCTTTGTTCTTTTGGCTTCATTGACAGGGATGCCCTCTCTCACCACTCTTATTCAACACAGTGTTGGAAGGTCTGGCCAGGGCAATCAGGCAGGAAAAAGAAATAAAGAGTATTCAATTAGGAAAAGAGGAAGTCAAATTGTCCCTGTTTGCAGATGACATGATTGTATATTTAGAAAACCCCATCATCTCAGCCTAAAATCTCCTTAAGCTGATAAGCAATTTCAGCAAAGCCTCAGGATACAAAATCAATGTGCAGAAATCACAGACACTCTTATACACCAATAACAGACAAACAGAGAGCCAAATCATGAGTGAACTCCCATTCACAATTGCTTCAAAGAGAATAAAATACCTAGGAATCCAAGTTACAAGGGATTTGAAGGATCTCTTCAAGGAGAACTACAAACCACTGTTCAATGAAATGAAAGAGGACACAAACAAATGGAAGAACATTCCATGCTCATGGATAGGAAGAATCAATATTGTGAAAATGGCCATACTGTCCAAGGTAATTTATAGATTCAATGCCATCCCCATCAAGCTACCAATGACTTTCTTCACAGAATTGGAAAAAACTACTTTAAAGTTCATATGGAACCAAAAAAGAGCCCACATTGACAGGATCTCATTTTTTATGGTTGAATAGTACTCCATTGTGTATATGTATCACATTTTCTTTATCCATTCATCTATTGGTGGACACTTAGGTTGCTTCGAAATCTTAGCTATTTAAAAAAGTGCTGCAACAAACGTAAGAATGCAGATGTCTCTTCAATATATATATTTATTTTTGGGGCAGGGGTATATACCCAGCAGTGGGGATGTTGGATCATATGGTACCTCAAGTTTTAGTTTTGAGGAATCTCCAAACTGTTCTTCATAGTGGTTGTACATTTACATTCCCACCAATTGTGTACAAGGGTTCCCTTTTCTCCACATCCTCGTGAGCATTTTCTATTGCCTGACTTTTGGATAAAAGCCATTTTATCTGGGGTAAGATGATATCTCATTGTAGTTTTGATTTGCATTTTTCTGATGATCCATGATGTTGAGCACATTTTCATGTCTGTTTGCCATTTGTATGTTTTCTTTGATAAATGTCTATTCAAATCTTTTGTCCTTTTTTTTTGAGACAGAATTCTACTACTGTCTCCCATGCTGGAGTGCAATAGCATAATCTTGGCTCACTGAAACCTCCACCTCCCAGGCTCAAGCAATTCTCCTGCCTCAGCCTCCTGAGTAGCTGGGACTACATATGCGTGCCACCATGCCTGGCTAATTTTTGTATTTTTTGTAGAGAGGGGTTCCACTATGTTGCCCAGGCTGGTCTCAAACTCCTGTGCTCAAGTGACCTACCTTCTTCCTTTCCAATTTAGATGCCTTTTATATCTTTCTCTTGTTTGATTGTTCTTACTAGGAGTTCCAGTGCTATGTTGAATAACAGTGGTGAAAATGGGCATTATTGTCATGTTTAGATCTTAGAGAAAATCCTTTCAGTTTTTCTCTATTCAGTAGGATACTAGCTGTGTGTCTGTCATATATGGCTTTTATTATGTTGACATTTATTTCTTCTATTCCCAGTTTTTTGAGGGTTTTTATCATGAAGGGATGTTGAATTTTATCAAATGTTTTTCAGCATCAATTAAAACGATCAGATTGTTTTTATCCTTCATTCTGTTGATGTGATGTATCACACTGATTGATTTGCATATATTAAACTCTCCTTGCATCCTAGGAATAAATCATACTGCTCATGATAAATTATCTTTCTAATTTATTGTTGAATTCAGTTTGTTAGCATTTTGTTGAGGATTTTTGCATTCATATTCATCAGAGATATTAGCCTGTAGTTTCCTTTTTATGATGCATCTTTGGTTTTGGTATCAGGGTACTACTGGCCTTGCAGAATGAATTTGGAAGTATTCCCTTGTACTCTATTTTTTAAAAACTGGTTTGAGTAGGATTGGTATTAGTTCTTTAGAAGTTTGGCAGAATTCAGCACAAAGCCATTGGCTCCTGAGCTTTTCTTTAATGAGAGACTTACTATGATGGCTTCAATCTTGTTACCTGTTATTGGTCTTTCCAAGTCTTGGATTTCTCCCTGTTTTATTCTTGGTAGGTTGTATGTGTCTGGGAATTTGTCTATGTCTTCTAGATTTTCCAATTTATTGAAATATAGTTGTTTATAATAGCCACTAATGATCTTTTTAATAGCTGCAGTGTCAGTTGTAATGTCTCCTTTTTCATTTCTGATTTTATTTATTTGAAACTTCTGTTCTTCATATTCTGACTAAAGGCTTGTCAATTTTGTTTAACTTTTCAAAAAAATCAACCTTGTGTTTTATTTATCTTCTGTATTGTTTCTCCATTTCCATTTCATTTATTTCTGCTATGATCTTTATTATTTCTTTTCTTCTACTAACTTTGGGTTTTGATTTTTTTTCTAGCTTTTCTAGCTCTTTAAAGTGAATTGTTAGATAGTTTATTTGAAGTTTTTTTTTATATAGGCACTTTTAGCTATAAACTTCCCTCTGAGTATTGCTTTTGCTGTATCTCATAAATTTGGTTTTGTATTGTTTCCATTATTATTAGTTTCAAAAATTTTTTCAATTTTCTTCATTAATTTTTCATTGACCCACTGGTCATTGAGGAGCATGTTGTTTAACTTCAATGTATTTGTATAGTTTCCAAAATTTTTCTTGTTATTCATTTCTAGCTTTATTCCATTGTGGACAGAGGAGATGCTTGATATTATTTCCGTTTTTGAATATTTTTATATTTGTTTTGTGACTTAACATATGGTCTATCCTTGAGAATGATCCATGTACTGAGAAAAAAATTGTGTATTCTGCAGTCATTGGATGAAATGTTCTGTAAATATCTATTGGAGGCACTTGGTCTATATTGCACACTGAGGCTGATGTTTCTTTGTTTATTTTTTGGAAGATCTGTCCAGTGCTGTCTGCTGCTATTATTGTACTGGGGCTTATCTCCCTCTTTGGCTCTAATAATATTAATACTTGCTTTATATATTTGGGAGATCCAGTGTTGGGTGCATATATATTTAAAATTGTTTAATGAACTTGATGAATTGACCCCTTTATCATTATATAGTGACTGCCTTTGTCTCTTCTTATAGTTTTTGTCTGGAAATCTATTTTATCTGATATAAGTGTAGATACTCCTGCTTTTTTTAAAATTTCCCTTCGCATATGATATCTTTTTCCACCCGTTTATTTTCAGTCTATGTACATGTTTTTAGGTAAAGTGTGTTTCTTGCAGGAAACAGGTAAGTGGGTTTTGTTTTTTTATCCGTTCAGTCAGTGTGTGTCTTTTGATTGGTGAGTTTAGTTTGTTTACATTCAGTGTTGTTATTAGTAAGTAAGAACTTACTCCTGTCGTTTTGTTATTTGTTCTCTGGTTGTTTTGTAGTCTCATTTTTTTTCTTCCTATCTTCATTTAGTGAAGGTGATTTTCTCTGGTGATATTATTTAGTTTCTTGCTTTTAATTTTTTGTGTTTTTTTTTGTGTTTCTTGGTTTGGGCTTCTGATGAGTCTTGCAAGTACTATCTTGCTACTCATTATTTTAACCTGATAGCAACTTGACACTATTTATATAAACAAACAAACAAGCAAAAAACAAATTAATAAAAACTCTCCTTAACTTTGTCCCCTGCTTTTTAACTTTTTTGTTGTTTCTATTTATATCTTATTGTAATGTCTATGGTTTCAAAAGTTGTAGTTATTATTTTTTTACTTGTTTATTGTTTAGTCTTTCTAGTTAGGGTAAGAGTGGTTTACATACCACAGTTACAGTGTTGTCATGTGTGTTTGGTTATCTGTTCCTGCGTTAGTTTGTTGAGGATAATGGCTTCCAACTGCATCCATGTTGCTGCAAATGACATGATCTCATTTCTTTTTATAGAACTATTTCACAGTGTATATGTACCACATTTTCTTTATCTAGTCTATAATTGATGGGCATTTAAGTTGATTCCATGTCTTTGCTGTTGTGAATAGTGCTGCAATGAACATATGTGCACATGTATCTTTATAATACAATTATTTATATTCCTTTGTGTATATACTCAGTAATGAGATTGCTGGGACAAATGGTATTTCTGCCTCTAGGTCTCTGAGGAATTGCCACACTGTCTTCCAACTGACATGAGATGGTATCTCATTGTAGTTGATTTGCATTTCTCTAATGATCAGTGATGTTGAGTTTTTTATCATATGCCTGTTGGCCACATAAATGTCTGCTTTTGAGAAGCATCCATTCATTTCCTTTGCCCACTTTTTAATGGGGTTGTTTTCTTTCTTGTAAATTTGTTTATGCTCTTTGTAGACCTTTGTCAGATGGATAGATTGCAAACATTTTCTCCAATTTTTAGGTTGTCTGTTGACTCTGATGATAGTTTCTTTTACTGTGCAAGAGATGTTCAGTTTAATTAGATCCCATTTGTCAATTTTTGCTCTTGTTGCAATTGCTTCTGGCATTTTTCTTTTAAAATCTTTGCTCGTGCCTATATCCTGAATGGCATTGCCTAGATTTTCTTCTAGGGCTTTTATAGTTTTGCGTTTTACGTTTAAGTCTTTAATCTATCTTCAGTTAATTTTTGTATAAGGTGTAAGAAAGGGGTCCAGTTTCAATTTTCTGCATATGGCTAGCCAGTTCTTCCAGCATCATTTATTAAATAAGGAGTCCTTTCCCCATTGCTTTTTTATGTAAGGTTTGTGAAGGATCAGATGGTTGTAGGTGTGTGGTATTATTTCTAAGTTCTCTATTCTTTACCATTGGTATATGTGTCTGTTCCTGTACTAGTACCATGCTGTTTTGGTTACTGTAGCCTTGTAGTATAGTTTTAAGTCAGGTAGTGTGATTCCTTCAGCTTTTTTTTTTTTGTTTGTTTGTTTTTTTTTGTTGTTTTTTTTTTGCTTAGGATCGTCTTGACTATTTGGGCTTTTCTTGGTTCAATAGGAATTTTAAAGTAGTTTTTTTTCTAATTTTGTGAAGAATGTCAATGGTAGTTTAATGGAACTATTCAATTAATAACGTTGAATCTATAAATTGCTTTGGGCAGTCTTACCATTTTCACGATATTGATTCTTCTTATCCATGAGCATGAAATGTATTTCCATTTGTTTGTGTCCTCTCTAATTTTTTTGAGCAGTAGCTTTTGTTTCTCCTTGAAGAGGTCCTTTACTTTCCTTGTTAGCTGTATTCCTAGGTATTTTATTATTTTTTTTAACAATTATGAATGGAAGTTCATTCATGATTTGGCTCTCTGCTTGCCTATTGTTAGTATATAGGAATGACAGTAAATATTTAACAATGATTTTGTAACCTGAAACTTTGCTGAAGTTGCTTATCAGCTTAAGAAGCTTGTGGGCTGAGACAATGTTGTTTTCTAGATATAGAATCATAGCATCTGCATGCAAAGATAGTTTGGATTCCTCTTTTCCTATTTGAATACACTTTATTTCTTTCTCTTGACTGATTGCCTTGGCCAGAACTCCCAATACTACGTTGAATAGGAGTAGTGAGAGAGGACATTCTTGTCTTGTGCCAGTTTTCAAAGGGAGTGCTTTTAGCTTTTGCCTATTCAGTATGATACTGACTGTAGATTTGCCATATATAACTCTTATTATTTTTAGGTATGTTCCTTCAATATGTGGTTTATTGAGAGGTTTTAACATGAAGGGATGTTGAATTTTATTGAAGTCCTTTTCTGCATCTATTGAGATAATCATGTGGTTTTTGTCTTCAGTTCTGTTTATGTGATGAATCACATTTATTGATTTGCATATGTTGTACCAACCTTGTATCCCAGGGATGAAACCAACTTTATTGTGGTCGATAAACTTTTTGATGTGCTGCTGGATTTGATTTGCCAGTATTTTATTGACAGTTTTTGCATCAATGTTCATCAAGGATATTGGCCTGAAGTTTTCTTGTTGTTGTGTCTCTGCCAGTTTTTGGTATCAGGATGATGCTGATCTCATAGAATGAGTTAGGGAGGAGTCCCTCCTTTTCAATGGTTTGAATAGTTTCAGTAGAAATGGTACCAGCTATTCTTTGTACCTCTGGTAGAATTCAGCTGTGTGATTCATAAAATGTAGAAAATGTAAAGCTAGGTGTGATTCTAGAAATGATCTAATTGGAGGGGTGCGGTGGCTCACATCTGTAATCCTAGCACTTTGGGAGGCCGGGGCGGGTGGACTATTTGAAGTCAGGAGTTTGAGACCAACCTGGCCAACATGGCGAAACCCCATCTCTACTAAAAGTACAAAAATTAGCCCAGCATGGTGGCACATGCCTGTAGTCCCAGCTACTCAGGAGGCTGAGGCAGGAGAATCACCTGAACCCAGGAGTTGGAGGTTGCAGTGAGCCGAGATTACACCATTGCACTCCTGCCTTGGTGACAGAGTGAGACTGTCTCAAACAAGCAAACAACAAACAAATAAAAAAAAAGATCTAGTCAAAACCCCTCACATTTTACAGATGAAGATGAGGTCAAAATTCTTAAGTGCTCAAAATCATACATGTAATTATTAACAGTGGCAGAACCTAGACAAACCAGGTGTCTTGGCTATGCAAATTAATTCAATGAATACTTTTTTACTTTTGTCAGTAATTACTGATTTTTTAGATCTTGCTCTAAAATAATTAAATACTGTACTCTGAAGCTATAGAAATATAGATTATAAACTTCTGAACAACAATGACCAATAATAATCTGTTCTATATGGTAATATTTTAAGCATGTAGAATAGCTCATAGGTGCACAATATTTCATGAAGACAGTATTGTCATTACAAGTTTTTCTCAAAAATAGTATTATTTTGTTTATGGTAAGGTAATATTTTATCAGCCATTTTAGGGACACATATTTGTGTAAGAACTCCTGTGTTTTGTAAAATTTTTATTAGTATAAAATAATACAGTTTTGTCAGTATATTTAAAATGCTTGAAAGCATGCACAGGTAGCTATACAGTAAGAATATTTAAGATATAGTAGGGATGAGGAAAGAAAAGTTTTTCTTTTCAATTTTAATATTCTGTACTTTTAAATATATTTTTAACAGTAAGCATGTTTGTCCTTTTAATATAAAAATAAGTTACACCGCATGATCTCACTCATAGGTGGGAATTGAACAATGAGAACACATGGACACAGGAAGGGGAACATCACACACTGGGGCCTGTTGTGGGGTGGGGGGAGGGGGGAGGGATAGCATTAGGAGATATATCTAATGTTAAATGATGAGTTAATGGGTGCAGCACACCAACATGGCACATGTATACATATGTAACAAACCTGCACGTTGTGCACATGTACCCTAAAACTTAAAGTATAATAAAAAAAAAGTATTTCAACACTATCACAAAAACAGAAAAATCGCACCACTCAGAAAGAACCACTCTTAGTATTTTGTCACATTTCTTTCCAACCTGACATTATGCCTTATTTGTTTCCAAAAGTATCTGATTTCTGCTCTTGTTCCATTTGACAGTATGGCATAAATGTTTTCTTATGTCATTAAAAACTATTCATTATTTTTTTAATAGCTGTGAAGAATTACATTGTTTGGACATACTATAATTACTTTAGCTTAATATTCTATGTTGGTTTATTTCCCTTTGTTATCATAACTAAAGCACTATTAGACATAATCATGCATTAATCTTTGTCTGTATTTTGGATTAAGTCCTTATGATAGATTCATAAAACTTAAATTAATTACTGGGTTAAATAATATGAACTTTTTTTTTTTTTTGAGATGGAGTCTTGCTCTGTTGCCCAGACTGGAGTAGAGATGTGATCGGCTCTCTGCAACCTCTGCCTTCCAGGTTCAAGTGATTCTCCTGTCTCAGCCTCCCAAGAAGCTGAGACTACAGGTGCGCCACCACGCCTGGCTAGTTTTTGTATTTTTTAGTAGAGATGGGATTTCTCCATGTTGGGCATGCTGGTCTTGAACTCCTGACCTCAATTGATTCACCACCTTGGCCTCCCAAAGTGCTGGGATTACAGGTGTGAGCCACCGTGCCTGGCCTAATATGAACATTTTAAAAAACTCTCCAAAAATAATACCAAATTACTTTTCAGAAATATACTAATTTATACTCCCACTAATTTTTTTCAGAGACAAGATCTCACTATGTTACCCAGGCTGGAGTGGAGTGGCTATTCACAGACAAGATCATAGCATACTGCAGCCCTGAACTCCTGGGCCCAAGTAATCCTCCTGCTCAAGTAGCTGGAACTACCTTGTAAGGTATGCCACCACATCCCACTAATTTTATTATTTCTTCCAGTAGTGTGTGAAAGTGCTTTATCACAAAACCATCATATATATGTTTCTAATAGATTAGATAAAATCATTACTGTCTATTTTTAGTTGAAATTCTTTGATTTAGTGAAATTAAACATGTTACTTGTTCATTAGCCATTTATATTGTATCTCCTGTGAATCATCTAATTACTTATTCATTTATATACTGGAGTTTTTGTATTTTTCTTATCAATTTGTATGAACTACTTACATATTAAGACTATAACCAACAAATATTAATTTCTGTAATATTTGTTGCAGGTAAGTTTTCTAATTTTGTTTTTTTAAATTTGATTTATGCTGTTTTTAATGATGACGTTTATAAAATTCTATCCTATCTATTGTTTTATTTTATAATTTATTTCCCATTGTTCCTAAACTTAGAAAGTGACCCCTCATCCTGAAATTTATTGCATAATCAACTTTTCTTTTCTACTATTTTACATTTTTATAATTTGATTTTTTTGTATTAAGAAAATTTAACTACTTTTTATCCAGCTGGAATTTATTTTATATGATGTGAGAGGATTGTTTATGAAATAGCCAATCAGTTGTTCCAGCATTATTTATTAAATATCTTTACTTTCACAATTGTTGCATTATACTCTCTTTGCCATCTATTAAAGTGTTATACTAAGGTCTGTTTCTTCACTGTCTGTTCTGTTCCATTGATCTGGTACCAATGTTATTTTAATTTAATCATTGTAGGTTGCATTAAATTTTAATATCTGACAAGGCTAGCTTTCACACATAAGATTTTTTTCTCTTTTTCATTTTTAAGCCATTATCTTCTATTTGTTTTTTCAGAGAAACTTCAGAAAAATTTTGTCATGTTTTTCTTCTCCACTCTCATATTTTACATTGAGGGTATTGACTGCAATTGTTGTGCTATGTATGTTACGTTCTTTCTTTATTCTTTACAGATGGGGTCTTGCTGTGTTGCACAGGCTCATCTCAAATTCCTGGCCTCAAGTAATCCTCCCACCTGGGCCTCTCATAGTGTCGGGATTACAGGCATGAGCCATTGCACTCAGCTTGTCATGTTTCTATTTACTTATTTACTTAACTTTTATACTACTTAGTGACTACTGTCATGTTTCTTTTTTTAAAAAAATTTTATTTTAAGTTTAGGGGTACATGTGCAGTTGTGTTATATAGGTAAACTTGTGTCATAGGGGTTTATTGTACAGATTACTTCATCACCCAGGTATTAAGCCTGGTATCCATTAGTTATTTTTTTCTGATCTTCTCCCTCTTTCCACCTTCCACCCTCCAATAGGCCCTAGTGTTTGTTGTTCCTTTTTATGTGTCCACGTGTTCTCATCATTTAACTCCCATTTATAAGTGAGAACATGCGGTATTTGGGTTTCTCTTCCTGCATTAGTTTGTTAAAGAAAATGTCTTCCAGCTTCATCCATGTTCCTGCAAAGGACATGATGTTGTTCTTTTTTATGGCTGCATAGTATCCCATGGTATATATCTACCACATTTTCTTTATCCAGTCTACTATTGATGAGCATTTAGGTTGATTCAGTGTCTTTGCTATTGTGAATAGTGCTTCAATAAACACATGTATATGCGTCTTTATGATAGAGCAATTTATATTCTTCTGGGTTTATTTGCCGTAAGGGGATTGCTGGGCCAAATGTTATTTCTGTATTTAGGTCATTGAGGAATCGCCATACTGCTTTCCACAACGGCTGAACTAATTTTTATTCCCACCAACAGTGTATAAACATTCCTTTTTCTCTGCAACTCCTCCCACACCAGTTATTTTTCAGTAATAGCCATTCTGCCTGGTGCGAGATTGTATCTCATTGTGGTTTTGATTTGCATTTCTCTAATTGTCAGTGATATTGAGCTTTTTTTTCATTTGCCTGTTGGCCACATGTATGTATTCTTTTGAAAAGTGCCTATTCTTGTCCTTTGCTTAGTTTTGAATGTTTTTTTTTTCTTGTAATTTTGTTTAAGTTCCCTGTACATGCTGGGTATTAGACCTTTGTTGGATGCATATTTGCAAAAATTTTCTTCCATTCTGTAGGTTGTCTCTTTATTCTGTTAATAGTTTCTTTTGCTGTGCAGAGCTCTTTAGTTTAATTAGATCCCATTTGTCAGTTTTTGCTTTTGTTGCAATTGCCTTTGGCATCCTCATTACCAAATCTTTGCCCATTCCTATGTCCAGCATGTTATTGCCTAGGTTGTCTTCCAGGGTTTTCACAGTTTTGGGTTTTATATTTAAGTCAAGGAAGGGGTCCAGTTTCAATCATCTACATATGACTAGACTGTTATCCCAGCATCATTTATTGAATAGGGAGTTCTATCTTGGTTTTTCCTGTTCTTGTTAGCTTTGTCAAAGATAAGATAATTGTAGGTGTGTGTCATTACTTCTGGGCTCTCTACTCTGTTCCATTCATCTATGTGTCTGTTCTTGTACCAGTACCATACTGTTTTGATTACTGTAACCCTGTAGTATAAAGTTGGGTAACATGATACCTCCAGCTTTGTTCTTTTTGGTTAGAATTGCCTTGGATATTTGGGCTCTTTTTTGGTTCCATATAAATTAAAATTGTTTTTTTCTATTTCTATGAAGAATGTCATTGGTGGTTTAAGAACTTGGCCAGGCATGGTGGCTCACGCCTGTAAATGCAGCACTTTGGGAGGTTGAGGCAGGTGGATCACCTGACATCAGGAGTTTGAGACCAACCTGACCAACATGGAGAAACCCCATCTCTACTAAAAATACAAAAATTAGCCAGGGGGTGGTGGCACATGCCTGTAATCCCAGCTACTCCAGAGGCTGAGGCAGGAGAATTGCTTGAACCTGGGAGGCGGAGGTTGCAGCGGAGGTTGCAGTGAGCGGAGATTGCGTCATTGCACTCCAGCCTGGGCAACAAGAGTGAAACTCCATCTCAAAAAAAAAAAAAAAAAAAAAAAAAGAACTTCTTGATTGTTGACCTAATTTTATTATTTACTCAAAAGTCATTCAGTGTCTTATATCCAATCATGTGATCAATTTTTGAATATGTGCCATGTGAGGATGAGAAGAATGTATATTCTGTTGTTTTTGGTTGGAGACTTCTTTAGGTGTCTATCAGATCCATTTGATCCAGTGCTGAGTTCAGGTCCTGAATATCTTTGTTAATTTTTTGCCTTAATCTGTCTAATACTGTAAGTGGGGGCATTGAAGTCTCCCACTATTATTTTGTGTGAATCTAAGTCTCTTTGTAGATCTCTAAAAACTTGTTCTATGAATCTGGGTGCTCCTGTGTTGGGTGCATAGAGATTTAGGATAGTTGGATCTTCTTGTTGAATTGAACCCTTTATAGGTAATGCCCTTCTTTGTTTTCTTTGGATCTTTGTTGGTTTAAACTCTGTTTTGTCTGAAATTGGGATTGCAACGCCTGCTTTTTTCTGTTTTCCATTTGCTTTATTTATTTATTTATAAACATTTATCCCACTCAGTGGCTACTGTCATGTTTCTTGATTCACTTAATTACACCTTTATATGTTTCAGTGAAATTTTCTTTACAAAGGTTCTGCATATTCCTTGTTAAAATTTTAATTCACTCAATAATGTTAATTCTTCTGGAATTCAGATAGATCAATGTTGTTTTGTACCCATTATATGCTAAGCATTGGCCTAGACGTTTGCATGTATTATTTATATTTCTCACAAGAATTCTGTGTAGTAGGCATTTATTATGCTCATTTTAGAGATAAGGAAATTAAGACTCCAAGAGATTTAATGGCTTGCCCAAGGCCTGGTAAATATCAGGGCTCTGTTAAGACCTCTGAAAGAGGTCTTCTTCTCTCACCAATTTATATTGTTTTAATTGGTTATTGCTAGGCACTAAGAAAGCTATTTAAAATATATATTTTTTATTCAATCACCTATCTACCTGTCTGTCTATATTATTTATGGCAGAAAAAAAAGAGGTTTTATTGTTTTCATTTGGTCGACCAACTAGGAGAGAGTTCTAGGGTGGTTAAAAATCTGTCTTACACTGGAGAAAGTGGCTTTGGCACAACCTCCAGTTCAGAAGGATCATGGGAAGGCTGTTGGGTGTCATAGGTCACTGGGCTTGGGAGAATCCAAGTTGTCAACAAGAAGTTTTTGACCAGCCAGGTCTGGGGCCTGCAAGCCTGTGGAGGTGGGTCAGGTAGTCATCCATCTTCTCAATGAGTTTCACCTCCTATTAGGAAGTGATATTCCAGGAACTCACACCAATGGGGGTCTCTGCTGCTCCAAACTCAGACTTAGCAGGCCTGGTTTAGGCTCTTTTTCAGGACCATGATGGCTTCCTTCGCAACCCCACTCATCTTGGGATGTCTTTTTCATATCCAGGCAGAGAGTTTGGCCACAGCATTGGTTTTTCATCTTTAAGAGATGCTCAGGCTGGGCATAGTGTGATCATGGCCCACTGCAACCTTGACCTCCAAGGCTCAAGCCATCCTCCAACCTCAGCATCCCGAGTAGCTGGGACTACAAATGTGCACCATCATGCCCCACTAATTTTTAAAGATTTTTTTAGAGGCAGTGTCTCACTATGTTGGTCAGGGTGGTCTTGAACTCCTGGGCTCAAACAATCCTCCTGACTTGGCCTCCGAAAGTATTAGGGTTACAGGTGTGAGCCACCATGCCCAGCCTATTGTTTTATATTTTAAATAATATAGCTAAAGTTAAATCACTAGTCCTCAAGTACCTACCCTTTCTTCAAAGTGCATTACAATACTAAAATCTTTCTACAAGTGTGTTTGATGTGAATTTCTTAGTTTGAGTAACCTTGCTTCCCACCTGAGCTAACATCATCAAATGCATTTTATGTGTATCCTTTGAAATTCTTTTTTTTTTTTTTT
This sequence comes from Homo sapiens, assembly GCF_000001405.40. Classification (NCBI taxonomy): domain Eukaryota; kingdom Metazoa; phylum Chordata; class Mammalia; order Primates; family Hominidae; genus Homo; species Homo sapiens. The sequence goes on from NC_000023.11 coordinate 80,872,156, forward strand.
TTTTTTTGAGACGGAGTCTCGCTCTGTCGCCCAGGCCGGACTGCGGACTGCAGTGGCGCAATCTCGGCTCACTGCAAGCTCCGCTTCCCGGGTTCACGCCATTCTCCTGCCTCAGCCTCCCGAGTAGCTGGGACTACAGGCGCCCGCCACCGCGCCCGGCTAATTTTTTGTATTTTTAGTAGAGACGGGGTTTCACCTTGTTAGCCAGGATGGTCTCGATCTCCTGACCTCATGATCCACCCGCCTCGGCCTCCCAAAGTGCTGGGATTACAGGCGTGAGCCACCGCGCCCGGCCAGTCCTTTGAAATTCTGATGAGCTAATTAGTAATTTACTTCTCTCGAAATAGCCCTTTCCAGCATGATGCAGTAGAAAGAGTAATACTGTGAGGGTCAGGAAACTTTTGTTCTAATCCTGGCTCCTTCATTAATTGTACAACTGTGGAAAAATCACCAATTTCTTTAAGCTTTAAAAAAATATCTATACAGTGAGTGTACTCCTAGCTGTAAAATTCTGACTGTAATCTTTAGTTCCATCCCATTACTTCTTCCATTTAAATTTTCGATATCCATTCAATGAAGATGCAAGTCTCTTATTTCTGTTACCTCTTTCAAGATACAAATACTCATTCAACACATCCCCACTCCATTTTACTCTCAATTGTCCTATATTTTCTCTTTTTCTTCTTAGTAAGGTGCTTTATGAAGCCCCTGATTCTTTGTAGGCAAATTTCATTTTGTCTTAAAACCTGTTTATCACCCCCAACAAAATCTGGCTGTCACATGAAGACATCAGTTTCTCTGCAGTCTTTCTCACTGGAGATTTTACCCGCAGACACCTAAAGCATATGGTAGCTTCCCCATTGCCCAGCTTCCGCACCATGGGCAGCTTCTTCAGTGCTCACCTCCCAGAGTTTCCATTGACACTCCTTGCCCCTCAGGCATTATTCTAGCAGACAGCTTCCAAATGAGACACATTGGCATGATTAGATTTCCCAGGCTCCTTAGAGGGTGATTTTCCGGTAATCCCTAAAGGACTAATTTCTAGCAAGTTCCACCTGCGTAATGCCACAGTGACTGATCTTTCATGTTAGCGTCCACTCCAACAAGGTCTGGATCTCAGCCCTGGGCTGGAGTGGGGTGGGAATGCTCTTCCTTGGGTGCTCTATTTCAGCCCTAGAAGTAGTAGTTGCTCCTTATTTTTGCTACTCCTATATTCTTTAAAGGTCACCTTACTGTTTACTAACCAATCCCTCATTATTCCCGTCTGCTGTTATATATAACATTCTTTATCTTAAACTTTCCTCTATTCAATTTACTGTGTGCTCTCTCTCTCTCTCTCTCTTTCTCTCTCTCTCTCTCCTAGTTGGACTAAGACTCATACTGAAGTCTCTATGCCTTTTTAGCTTAATTTACTCCTTAATCCCTTCAATCAGGCTGCTATTCCTACTGCTACTGTGGAAAAAATGTGAAATCTAACCATCTTTCTCCATCCTGTGGTTTCGCTGCTTGGGACAGAATCCTCTTGAAATTCCAACTTAGGCTTCTATGATACTATACCATTCCATTTGTCTTCCTGAATCTCCAATTGTCCCTTCTGTTTTCTATATTTACTCTAATTTCTTTTCATGTTTCTTAGTTGTTATTACCAAAGTGTGAATATTTATCCCTTGGCTATTTTCTGTTTTCTCTCTTCTCTAGATAACTCATAGTCTCTTGGCATTAGCTACCATCTCTGATTTAATGACTTCCAACTTATGTTTATAGTCCTATCATCTCTCCTCATCTTAGTTCTACATTATTCATTTTTTTATCCAACAAATATTTCCTGAATGCTTACTCTGTGCTAGGCAATGTGGTAGATATTTGAAATACAAACGTGAACCAGGCACATTTCCTACACATGGCAAGCTTATTGACTGATGGCGAACACTGACATGTAAACAGAATATTATCATACAGTGTGGCAAGAGCTGCGGTTGAAGTAGAAAGTATTATTGGAACATAAAAAAACTCCTAACCTAATCTTGGTGGAGGTCATGGAGGATTTCCCAGAGACTGTAATATCTAGCAGAGAACTGAATGATGAGTAGGAGTTAACCAGGTGAAGAAGATTGAAGGGGTGGATAAAGTTGGAAAGTCAGTTCCAGACAGAAAAAACAGCATGTATAAAAGCCTAAGAAGTGTCATAGAGAACATGATGTTTTGGGGCGAAATTGAATTAGTTCAGACCATGTAGTTTCAGATCAATTAGCTAGACCATAGAGTTTAAGGGGAGAGTGACTAAACTTAAGCAAGCAGAAGTTAGAACTTCAAATTGTCTACTTTTATATTTATATTGTCTACAATTTTATATTTTATTTAACATGTACCTCTTTAAAGGAAACTTTCCTGAACTATTTTTACTACTAAAGTTATACAGATTTTTCCCTTCTCTCAATTCTACAACATTATTTATTAATATTTCACTTAACCCTATACTCTTGGACCTTGTTCCCTAGTTGTTTTATTTCCATTTAAGACTATTTATTGAGTATTTTGTATTCCAAGCTGCTGTGACGAGCACAAGAGATATAGGGGTGAATGAGATAGGACTCTTGAATAGCAGACTTTCTTGAATGCATGTCTTACCTTTTCAGCAGATTGCAAGCTACTTGAAGCCTGGGGCTGTGATCTAAGTTTTATAATAAATCTGTTTCTATTTAGAATAACTAGAAATGAAAAAAAATCAAGATGGACAGTTGAAAGTCTTAGGCCAATAAAGTTCTTTACAAATATCCCTAGGTGATGTAGTCACATTTTCAGGTATATGGAACAAATGTTCCATATATGTTCCATATATTAAATGGTATAATATATTTGGATTTTTAAGACTTTATGAATGAAAACTTTTATTTTGTTCAAGTGCCTATCACAGCAAATACTTCAAATATTTATCAAACTTGTATTCATTATTAGTTTCTGATAAACTGTAACTTGCATACATAATCTAGGGTTTCTCAACCTTGTCACTGTTGACATTTTTGGGTGCATAATTTAGTGTGTGTGTGTATGACGTGTGGGTGCTGTCTTGTACACTGTAGCATGTTTAGCAGCATTCCTGATTTCTTCCCACTAGATGTCTCTACCACACCCCTACCTAAGTTGGACAACCAAAAGTGTCTCCAGACATTGCCAAATATCCTCTGGGGAGAAAATCACCCTGATTGAGAACCATTGCAACTCTTTTCGGAGATTCATGGTACGCAGTTTTATGTTAAAAACAACCCCAATGACCTTGATTCCAATATTCAAAATAGGACTCCTACATTTGCATTTTAACAGAGGTCTGAGGACCCCACCCCACCCCCACTCACATAACAGTCAGTTTTTTGGCAGGGAGCATTATACTCAAGAAATCTTCATTTGTTTTTTAGAAATTAATATGAAATTTACTAATTCTTGGCATTGCTTTTCTCTCAATTAGAAGTAAACATTTGTTAGCCATGCATTGTGCTAAGGGTTCTGAAGGCATTATCTCACTTTAATTCCTATAACAACCCTTAGAAGTTGGTATTATTAGAAGTTTCTTCTGCATGTGAAGACACTGAGGTTTAGGACACCTCAATGACTTGTCCAAATTTATGCAGCTTGTGGTGTATTTGGGTTTCAAATCCAGATCTCTGACAACAAAACCAGTGTACTTTCTACTAATCACATGGACTGACATTTCTTTCATTTCAGTAATTCTCCAGTAGAAATGAGTTATATATTAATTATTATTACCAGTGGAGGGTGGTGGATCAAAAAGTTCTCATTCTAACATTAGGGAAACAGTTACTAATTTTATCCATTTTATACTCCACATCTCAGTTTTTATGTTGCTTAATGTTATAACCTACCAAAAACTCATCAGTTATTCAGCTCTAACAGGTTTCTAAACTAGAAGGGAAAAAAGATTGATTTCCATTACATACAAATAGATGTGTTTTAAAAATGTGTTAGGAGGATAAGGATATAATCACTCTGTGGTAGACGTTTTAGTAAGATTAGAGAAGTTTCAGTAGTCTTGTTGATCTTTTGTTCAATCAAAAGTAACGTCTATTTATTCAGCATGATACAGTTTAAAGGGTAGTGTGTTAGAATGAGGAAGGACTCTATATATTTTAGTCCTTGTCCTATCATTAATGTAATTAAGACCCTGAGAAAGCTATTTCTCTACTCTGAGCCTCATGTTCCTCACCTGTAAAAGGAAGAAAGTGGTCCACATGATTTCTAAAGTCCTTTTCAGCTCTACCATTCTAAAAAGAATTGTGTTGTAGAAAACTCCTCAGAAAGAAATAGAAATTATAAATAAACCATCATATAAAACACTACTAAGACTTTACTTTTTCAAAAAAAACAAAAAGACTTTACTTTTTCGAATGAATTAATGGCACTTGCAGTGACCTGGATGAGATTGGAGACTATTATTCTAAGTGAAATAACTCAGAAATTGAAAACCAAACATCGTATGTTCTCACTGCTATGTGGGAACTAAGTTATGAGGACATAAACACATAAGAATGATATAATAGACTTTGGGGACTTGGGGGGAGGGGTGGGAAGGGGGTTGAGGGATAAAAGACTACAAATAGGGTGCAGTGTGTACTGCTCAGGTGATGGGTGCAACAAAATCTCACAGATCTACTAAAGAACTTATGTAACCAAATACCACCTGTAGCCCCAATAACCTATGGAAAAAATAATTTTAAAAAGTTACTTTTAAAATAAAAAATGATTGATGGCTGGATGATAGTAGAACTTCAAAATTATATATAATACTAAAGTTGTTGGTTCCTTAGGGTTTTTATGTGATTGTTTTAAATTTGATTTTCATTTTACTCCATTCTTGCTTAAGGACTTTTTCTTACATTTCCTCTAGGTGGTGCTCCATAACCAAAAATCACTTTTTAGTCTAGTAGCTATCAAAAAATATTCTTAGTCAACAAGACACCCTCCTTTGTCTCCAAATTCTGTATTATATTTTATCTATGTCACAATTTATAGGATACTGGCACCATAAAACATAAATATATGTTTCTAAGTTCTACAAATTAATTTAATATAGCACAAAGCACCATCTGTATGGAATAATACCATCTGTTATGCCATGTACTGATCCCATTTCTCATATCTGTGTTATGGCAGCTAGCCATTAATTGGTATTAGATGTTCAGAATCCTGTTGATATGCTAGACGATCTGTATGTCATTTATAAAATGAAGGTATTAAAAACATAGGGCACCTAGAGTTAAATTTTCTTTATGCATATTCCACAGATGTGTTGTGAATATTTTAAAGACAAAATATTTTACTTATGTATCATATATTTTATTACTATTATATTTATCATTTCATAGTAGTATTAAATTTAAATTCATACATAAAATATTCTAGACCAAAAAAAGATTTTTCGACTTGTGTTTTTAAAAAGGTTTTGAATTACATTCAAATTAAAAAAAAGCTATCATTGCATTTTATCTCTTTCTACTTAAATATCCTTCCATTCTCTAGTTCTCTAGTCTTCTTAAGGAACCGACTACTTCTATAACTCTAATCCTCCACTATTGCTCTGCTTCCCACTCTAACCCTGAAGGTCAATGATGCCAATTCCTTGGTATCTAAATATTCAAAATTTTCAAGTTGAGTACCAACTTGAAAGATAAGATTATCTGTCTCTGTTGTTTTTGTGTATGATTTCTATTAGATAAGATCTTGTATTAAGCTGCTATTTTGAAAGAATTACTCACCCAGCAAATGTTTAAATTAACCAACATTGAGTATTTAATTTTTTATTTGTATCAATTGTTAGTACGGATAATTTGAAATCTAATTACATTTTAATAACAAATTATACCGATTTTTAAAAATAGGTAAACAATCTCCACCAATGAGCAATGATTAGAAGTGAATTTGGCATAAAGTGAAGGTTAGCATTTGATATTACTTAGGCTTTTTTTTTGGTTTGGAAATGCTGCTACAATAAAGATAATATTAAAAAATTTAACACCATGCATTTTATTTCTTGAATTAAAAACATATATGCATGAGAGAATGCATTTGGCTATTAAAAATGACCAACCACAAAACCTTATTACTTTATTAATTTTTAAAGTTTTATTTATTTATTATTTTTATTTTAGGTTCAAGGGTACATGTCCAGTTTTGTTATATAAGTAAATTGTGTGTCACAGTGGTTTGGTGTACAGATTATTTTATCATCCAGGTAATAAGCATAGTACCCTATAAGGAGTTTTTGAATTCTTTCCCTCCTCCCACCATTCATCCTTAAATACACATATGTCCATGTGTACTCAATAAAACCCTCTTACTTGTTTTAATGCTCCAAGGTATTTCAGGCTGCAGATTTCCTCCAGTTGTTATTTCACAATATCAGTTAATCAAAGGGCATATTTAAAATTGTGATGTAGTGATGTTACTTTGAGAGGCCAACTAAGATATCAGAATGCAAATATTCTCAGGATATTAGAAATAAATTTTGAGTTAATTATTGTGCTAACTCCTTTAAATAAATTGCCATACTATTTTACCTTTAGACTCTTGTACATCATTTTATAAAACTTTGCAAAACCATTGGTGTTTCATCCTTGAGTTATGGCCATTCAAGTTGAAGTTGACTACCATCTTGTTTATATTGGAATTAAATTTTCTTTTAAATAAAACTATGACATAATGATCCATCTGTTTAAAAAATATAGAACAACGTTTTTATACTAGCAATTTGTTTGATTGACTTATTATCCCTTCCTAGAAAATAATATTGTGTTTAAAACAGAGAAAGCCTCACAATAATTAAAGGTCAGCAAACCAGGAATCTAAAGACAAGTTCTGGGCTTGACTCAGGTCTAAAGATTAGGTCACAGCTGTGTATATATATGGGCAATTGATCTAATCTCTTTATTTCACTTTTCTTGCTTGACCAACCCCAAAGCATAAAGCACTAGATAAATGCAAGTTATCATTATTATAGAAAAATATTTACCCTGATTATCCCCTCATAAATGCAAACTTTGCAACAATATGCCTACCATAACTGTCAAGGGCAGAAAAACACTTTCTTTCTATAATATACTCTATGAGATTCTCTGCTCCAACCAGGCTTTTGCCCAACTGCAGCAGCCTTTCAGCAGAAGTTGGCACCTTTCCAGGTTGCTCTGGCAGTTGCCACATTAGGTACTGAACAGTGACAGCTGCATACTTGGGAGACTACCTGAGCACAGATGCTTCTAGCCTTTCACCTCCAAAAAGGAGCCATGTAGTTCACATTGAACATATACATTGCTGATGAGCGGAGAGCAGGAGAAGAAGAGGAGGAGGAAGAGAAAAACATGACAAAAAATTCTCCTTCTCATAGAGTCATAGAATTTTAGTAATGGAAAGGAACTTAAAGGTCATCTTGTGTAATCACGCATTCCTTTTCCTCATTCTACCCAGCACCTTTATAGACCTAAGGAGATTTTCCTCTATGTTTTATAAATTGCATAGAGACAAAAAAGAAAAAGTATATGTGATTCAGTTGTCAGTGAAAAAGATACTGCTCATGAACTTTCTAAACTGTGCACCCACCTATATCAGAAATAAATGATGGAAACAAAATATAAACAATTAAAATGTCATTATCACAGCTCTTAGAAACAAATGGGTAAAATATGGAAGTGAGTGAAAATAAAACCTGGACTCCAGTGAATCTCTGCAATTGGTGTATTATTGATTTCAGTAGCAATATTATTTATCTATTGCTGTGTAATGAATTACCCTAAAACTTAGAGGCTTATACAGTCAACTGTAACACAAATAACAATCATTTGTGTTATGGTTTTTGTGGGTCTGGAATCTGAGCATAGTTTAGCTGAAAGCCTCTGACTCAGAGATTTTTACAAGGTTGCATTCAAAATGTTGGCAGCTGCTGTCATCTCAGAGCTCAACTTGGGAATGACTTGCTTCCAGCTTCTCTCACATGGTTCCTGGCAGGCCTCAGATTCTGCCTGGCTGTTGGCTAGAGATATCAGTTTATTGCCATGTGGGCCTCTCCATAGGGATGCTCACGATATGATAGCTGGCTTCCCTCAGAGCATGTGAGTGAGATGAAAGAGAAGGTGTACAAGATGGAAGCCACAGTTTCTTTGTAACCTAATTTTGGAAGTGACATTCCATTGCTATTGCTGTATCCTGTTTGTTAGAAGCAAGTTATGAATTCCAGCCCACATTCAAGGGGAGGAGAGTAGACACAAAGATGTGTATACCAGGAGGTGGAGATCATTGAGGGCCTTCTTAGAAGCTGCCTACTATAGTAGCCTTTTTAATTCTATCATTTTAAAATGAGGAGGACAAGCAATTTGAAAATGTTTTACTATGACTAATTCAACATCGTAAATTCTAGTACATACAATATGGTTTGTTGAGAGTAAGCATATTCAAATTAATTAGCTGAATAAGTTTTTTTTGGTGTTTCCATATAGTTTATATAGATTATTAAAATTAAATATTGAGAATTCCAGTTCCAGCTAGTCCTTACTAAACCTCCCCCTTACAGCTAAGAAGGCAAATTGGCTAGGGATCTTGAGGAATAACTGGTGGTGAGTTAATGAGTTCTTCTAGAGCTTTAGGATGCATATATGAAGAGCAGACTTCATTATAGAGTACAGAAATTTGGAATGTATTACTCTTTTGGCCCACATGACATTTCTTGGAAAATTATTTTTTTAAAAAAAGTATAACTTTGGTATGATATTGTTTACTGGTTATCTCTTTAAAAAAATATATCCAGTACATAAAATGAACTGAGGGTACTTTCTGTTTAATTGAACCTGCAAGTTACTTGATTTGAATGAATATGAACATATTCTTTAATTGTAATTTATTCTTTATTCCCTCTTCTATATTGTATGTCTTTATTTAGTAACATTGTAAAGCCAAGATATCATAATATGAGATGTAAAATTTTATAATATCTCTTTTGAAGCTCCATTATCTAACAGTATGATGCTATCTCTAAAAACATTTTTATTCAGATAAAGTTTCTTAATATGTTTTAGGCAATAGTAAAATCTTGCTATGTTAGATATATTTATATTTTGTTGACAATATTGCATAAGTTTTTGTTTGGAATAAAAATTATAATGTCTCTAATTTATCGAAATTCGATTTATCTACAGGTGTGTGACTCATTTGTAGGTAAATGAGTTTATTGTGAATAATTGCAAAGACTAATCCATGTGTGAAAATAGTCATACTAGCTTCCTATTATGTTAAAATTTTACAAAAAAGCTCATATTTTTTCAAGCTAACATATATCAAGTATTTACCATATGTCAAACACTAGGCTAAGGACTTTAAATGCATTATCTCATTAATGTTCACATTGCCCTATGAGGCAAGACCTATTTATATCCCTATTTACTGGTGAAGAAATTGAGGCTAATGAAGATTACAGAGTCAGAATTTAAACCTAGGTCTTGGTGATATGAAAATTCCTGCTCTTAACCACCATGTAATACTGACTTTCCCATTCGTATAAATGACTTTGTATGTTGTAGATCAGTCCAATTTGACTTCGGTTGTTTCAATAACAGGTATTTGCAAAGCTGCTCATGCTTTGGCTATTGTATGGCTGGGGGTTTGCTTGCTTGTTAGTTTGCTTAATTGCTCATTTGTGATTGGTTATACCGTGTGTAACTTTCTCACTATTCATGCTTGATCTCCAGTAGGTCTTTTTCTCTTAGTGCAGAATTAAATGCCTAGAGTTTGTATGAAAAATTTTCTCCACTCTTTCCTTTCTGTATTCAAGATTCCATGTAACACCTAAATGTGAAGTGAAACTGAAAACAAAGCATTTAAAAATTTGGAGATTCCTAAATATCTAGAAATCCGATGTTGTTTAGCCAAACATCTGGGCGTTTGAATATTTCAGCTTCCAACCACATGCCTGGCAATCTGCAGAGATAGCCTGATGTTGATAAGCCTTAGAACTTCTTAGGCTTACTTTAGTACCATCTACTCTCCTCCAATTCCAGGTCGAAATGTATGAATCAGAATAATTCAGAGGATTGCTCTTTCTTTTTGATTTACCTGGAAGATTTTATGTCTTTCTTATAAATTAAAATAAAAATATTATCAGTCCGGTTTTGACTTTTCCATTAAAATCTCCTGTGGGTTTTTCCCCCAAAGATGGCAGATTCAAGGCAGTGTTCGCATGCCTCTCCCACTTGAAAACACAAAATAGTGTGTAGATATTCACCTTGTGAACTTTTTCACCCAAGAAACAATGCAGGAACTTAATGGGAAAACTAAAATCCATAGATTATTTGAAAGAAGCAGCAGGCTGCCACCTACACCGTGAGCCAGGTGAAAAACTGTTAAGTCCCCAGAATGTGAGAGGAGAGACACCGCCTGCAGAATATACACCCCCACTGGGGAAAATGGAAATCCAGACCACAGGGGAAGGCCTTAACCCTACGCTGTGCCAGAACTGAGTAAGAGAGTGGTGAGAAATATAAAAGTAGGAATGGCGGTGGGAAGAGCCTTGCATGCATTCCCATCTTCAGCATGGTCCAAGAAAGCCATTCCTTATCCTGCCTCACAAGAGACGTCACAGAAATCTGCCAACTAACTCAGGCAGTGGTCACAGGTTGAAAGAAGCTCCCAACTTAATTTTATGCTGTAACCTTTAGTGGGGCAGAAGCCCCTTCACCAGAACCAGGAGGTGAGTGGGAAGCGTGCTGCAGCCACAAGTGCAGGAGCTGGGTGCCCTGGCTGTGCCAGCAGACTGGGAGAGGTGTGGCCTGAATGCAGTGGTTTCTGTCTCCATGGGGAAAGCTTATGACCTGGGGCAGTTTTAAGTTTTGAGTGTAGACAACCTGGAACTTAGCTTGCTGTGGGTAGTGGAAAACTGCATGTGGGAGATCTGCCTTGCTAAGTGCGTGGAAGCTGGGTGGGACTTATTACCACCTGGTACTCGCCACTCCCTGCCTGAACTCTTCTGTGCAGCAGAGAGTTATGGTCCTCTGTGCAACATTACCCCAGTGGCCAGAAACTGCTCCCCCTGACTTTCACAGGGGCCATTCCTTGCTCTACACATGGAGAGTCTGAGCAGGGACCTGCCTGACCCAACCCCAACCTGGCTTTGCCCTTCCACTGCCCCCACCCCCGGTAGCTTAACATGAAGGACAGAAACTTTTGGGAGATTTATAGCCCTGCCTATCACCTGAGAAACCAGAGTATTGCCCCTGGGTACCATAAGGCAAGCATAAATTCCACTGCTACTACCACAGCTACTGCTCTTTTGAAAGTGTCACCTCCTGGCTGAGGGTCAGCCAACACAGTCCATTACAGCATCTCCAGGTAGAATAGCACTGAGCCCAGGAAGGAGAAATCGTGTACATGACCTTAGCTATTACCATATCCTGCACCACCGTGGCTAAACAGGAGGTACTGAGTCTGTCCATGTAACTTGTTAATTACTACTATAAGTGGTATTTGAGAAAGCCAACACACTAAGGCTATCTATAACCAAGGAATCTCACAGAGTCTACACCACTTTCTTGCTACTATCATTAGAGCTTGTGCTGGTACCTGATACTGGGAGACTGGAGGACATGTAACATCTCTGAATCCTTTGCAGACATCCTCTAGCACCAGCCTGGAGTGTGGCAGCTACACCACTGGGTGACCAGACCGAAAGGAGAAACAGCATTCAAAGTAGTCTGGCTCCCAGGTATTCTACTCCTAGGGAGAAAGGGAAGTTTACCACATCAAGGGAACACCCCATGGGAAAAAAGAACCTGGACAGCAGGCCTTGAGTCTCAGATCTTTCGGCTGGTGGAAGGTTTCTTTCAGCAGAGGCATAGTTGCAGTGCTGGGCTTATCAGGGAAAGACTGCAGCTTTACCCCAACAGTCAGGCATCCCTGGTGCTCCTGAAGGGTCTTGGAGAACAGGACTTCTTTATCCCCTCGTCTACTACTGCAGACATAGCTGGGGCTTTTCCCATGAAAGCTTGGTGTGGGTGCACCTATAGACAGCTTCTTTAGAACACTTCAAGGTGACTGCAACCCCACAGGAAGAGCACCCTCCAGGTGCAGGCTTGCATGAGAGGTAAAGTCACAATTCTTCTCTACTTGGAACATCAACATTTCTGTGTATAAAAGAGATGCCTGTATGCCTTGAATAGCTGCAGCATGGGGACAGGAGTGTGTCTGGGAGGTGGATAGCTTCTCTGCTGGCTTGTCAAAATAGGTGAGGAAGCTCTGGCCATTCTTTCTGATAAGACCTCAGTGCATTTCACTGAAAGCTTTCCCAGCCACCTCTGTCAAGACCAGGACCTCTTCCCACCATTTGATATTGCATTTACCCACCTGCTTTAGCCACAGCCAATTTATAACTGTGGACACTTCCACTATTGGCCTGAAGCTTAAACTATTCAACCCAGTAAATAAAATACTGAGGAATATCTAAATAAATAAATACACACCATGGGAGAAAGAGATGTTTCAAGAGACCTCTACCATTTATACACCATAGGAGACAGTGAACATGCTTAAACACCAAGCACATAGCTATTAGAACCAGCATCTGAGGAAATCATTATAGAGACTCTCTCTAACCAAGGAACTCATACAGTCTTTACCCTTCAAAGCACCAAGAGCCAAATTAGGCTACAATAAACTGTAAATATTAAAGTTGCATCCTTAAGGGTGGGGGGAAAAATTAAAAAAAAACAGTGAAATAAAAAATAAATTCAAGAATAACTGAAAAAAATAGTCTACCCAAATGAGAAGAAACCAGTAAAATAGTTTAGGGAATATGGCAAAATGGTTCTATAACACCCCCAAAAGATCACACTAGCCCTCCAGCAATGGATTTAAACTAGGACAAAATCTTTGAAATAACAGATTAAAAAAATTCAAAAGATTGATTATTAAGCTACTGAAAAAGATGCCAGAGAAAGATGAAAACCAACATAAAATTTTTTAAAAAAATTTAAGATATGAATTTAAAATTTTCTAAAGACATAGTGGTATGGTTTGGCTGTGTCCTCACCCAAATCTCATCTTAAATTTTAGCTCCCATAATCCCCACGTGTCATGGGAGAGACCCAGTGGGAGGTAATTGAATCATGGGGGCAGGTTTTTCCCACGCTATTCTTGTGATAGTGAATAAGTCTCATGAGATCTGATGGTATTTTTTTTTTCAAGACAGAGTTTCACTCTTGTTGCCCAGGCTGGAGTACAATGGTGTGATCTCAGCTCACTGCAACCTCTGCCTCCCGGGTTCAAGTGATTCTCCTGCCTCAGCCTCCCAAGTAGCTGGGATTACAGCTGCCCACCACCATGTCTGGCTAATTTTTGTATTTTTAGTAGAGACAGGGTTTTGCCATGTTGGCCAGGCTGGTCTTGAACTCCTGACCTCAGGTGATCCACCCATCTTGGCCTCCCAAACTGTTGGGATTACAAGGGTGAGCCACCATGCCTGGCAATCTGAGGGTTTTATAAGGGGAAGTTCCCCTGCACACGCTCTCTTGCCTGCCACCATGTAAGACGTGCATTTGCTCCTCCTCCACCTTCCGCCATGATTGTGAGTCCTCTTCAGCCATGTGGAACTCCCAAATCTCATGTTGTTTTCATATTTCAAAACCAATCATGCCTTCCCAACAGTCCCCCAGTCTTAACTTATTCCAGCATTAACTCAAAAGTCCATGTTTAAAGTATCATCTGAGACAAGGCAAGTCACTTGTTCCTATGAGCCTGTAAAATCAAAAGCAAGTTAGTTACTTCCAAGAATCACTGAGAGTACAGGAATTAGATAAATGTTCCCATTTCAATTGGAAGAACTTGGCCAAAACTAAGGAGCTAGAGAGGTCCCATGCAAGTCCAAAATGCAGCCAGGCAGTCATTAAATCTTAAAGCTCCAAAATTTCCTTTGATTCCATGTCTCATATCCAAGGCATGCTGATGCAAGGGGTGGGCTCCCACGGCCTTGGGCAGCTCCACCCCTGTGGCTTTGCAGGCTACAGTCCCTGCAGCCACCTTTACAGGCTGGCATTGAGTGCATGGGGCTTTTCCAGGTGCATGGTGCAAGCTGTTGGTGGATCTACCATTCTGGAGTCGGGAGGATGGTGGCTTTCTTTTCACAGCTCTACTAGGCAGTGCCCCAGTGAGGACTCTGTGTGAGTGCTCCAGCCCCATATTTTCCTTCCTTACTGCCCTAGCAGAGGTTTTCCATTAGGGCTCCACCTCTGCATCAGATTTCTGCCTGGAGATCCAGGTGTTTCCATATATCCTCTGAAATCTAGGCGGAGGTTCCCAAACCTTATCTCTTGTCTTCTGCACACCTGCAGGCCCAACACCATATGGAAGCCACCAAGGCCTGTGGCTTGCACTCTCTGAAAAAATTGCCTAAGCTGTACCTTGGCCCCTTTTAGCCACAGCTGGAACTGAAGCAGCTGAGATGCAGGGTGCCATGTTCCAGGGCTGCACAGAGCAGCGAGGCTCTGGGCACAGCCCATGAAACCATTGTTCCCTCCTAGGTCTCTGGGCATGTGATGGGAGGGGCTGCTGTGAAGATCTCTGACATGCCTTGGAGACATTTTCCCCATTGTGTTGGCTATTAACATTTGGCTCCTTGTTACTTATGCAACTTTCTGCAGCAGGCTTGAATTCCTTTCCAGAAAATGAGTTTTTCTTTTCTACCTCATGGTCAGGCTACAAATTTTCCTAACTTTTATGCCCTGCTTCCCTTTTAAACATACAACCATCTCTTTGTTAATGCATGTAACTGAATGCTTTCAGAATAAGTCATGTCACCTCTTGAATGCCTTGCTGCTTGTAGTGAGCTGAGATCATGCCACTGAACTCCAGCCTGAGTGACAGAGCGAGATTCCATCTCAAAAAAAAAACTATTAAAAAAAATCTGGATTCATTGATATTTTGAATGGGTTTTTTTGTGTCTTGATATCCTTCAGTGTAGCTATGATTTTGGTCATTTCTTGTCTCCTGCTAGATTGGGGGTTAATTTGTTCTTGCTTCTCTAATTCTTTCAGTTGTGAATTTAAGTTTTTAACTTGGGATATTTCTAACTTTTTGATGTGGGCATTTAGTGCTATGAACTTCTCTCTTAAAACTGCCTTAGCTGTGTCCCAGAGATTCTGAAATGTTGTATCTTTGTTCTCATTAATTTCAAAGAACTATTTGATTTGGTGTCCTAATTTTGTTCTTTACCCAAAAATCATTCTGGAGTATGTTGTTTAATTTTCATGTAATTGCATTGTTTTGAGGAATTGTCTTAGTCTTCACTTCTACTGTTATTGCTCAGCAGTCCAATACTATGTTTGGTATAATTATGACTGTTTTAAATTTGCTGAGGATTATTATTTTTTTAACTTGCCAACATTAACACATTTATTTATTTGTTTATTATTATTATTTTTTATTATACTTTAAGTTCTAGGGTACATGTGCACAACATGCAGGTTTGTTACATATGTATACATGTGCCAGGTTGGTGTGCTGCACCCATTAACTCATCATTTACATTAGGTATATCTCCTAATGCTATCCCTCAGCCCTCTCCACTCCCCTCACCCCACAACCGGCCCCAGTGTGTGATGTTCCCCTTCCTGTGTCCAAGTGATCTCATTGTTCAGTTCCCACCTATGAGTGAGAACATGTGGTGTTTGGTTTTTGTCCTTGTGACAGTTTGCTGAAAATGATGGTTTCCAGCTTCATCCATGTCCCTACAAAGGACATTAACTCATCATTTTTTATGGCTGCATAGTATTCCATGGTATATATGTGCCACATTTTCTTAATCCAGTCTATCATTGACGGACATTTGGGTTGGTTCCAAGTCTTTGCTTTTGTGAATAGTGCCACAATAAACATACGTGTGCATGTGTCTTTATAGCAGCATGATTATAATCCTTTGGGTATATACCCAGTAATGGGATGGCTGGGTCAAATGGTGTTTCTAGTTCTAGATCCCTGAGGAATTGCCACACTGACTTCCACAATGGTTGAACTAGTTTACAGTCCCACCAACAGTGTAAAACTGTTCCTATTTCTCCACATCCTCTCCAGCACCTGTTGTTTCCTGACTTTTTAATGACTGCCATTCTAGCTGGTGTGAGATGGTATCTCATTGTGGTTTTGATTTGCATTTCTCTGATGGCCAGTGATGATGAGCAGTTTTTCATGTGCCTGTTGGCTGCATAAATGTCTTCTTTTGAGAAGTGTCTGTTCATATCCTTCACCCACTTTTTGATGGGGTTGTTTGTTTTTTCTTGTACATTTGTTTAAGTTCTTTGTAGATTCTGGATATTAGCCCTTTGTCAGATGGGTAGATTGCAAAAATTTTCTCCTATTCTGTAGGTTGCCTGTTCACTCTGATGGTAGTTTCTTTTGCTGTGCAGAAGCTCTTTAGTTTAATTAGACCTCATTTGTTATTTTGGCTTTTGTTGCCATTGCTTCTGTTGTTTTAGTCATGAAGTCCTTGCCCATGCCTATGTCCTGAATGGTATTGCCTAGGTTTTTTTCCTAGGGTTTTTATGGTTTTAGGTCTAACATTTAAGTCTTTAATCCATCTTGAATTAATTTTTGTATAAGGTGTAAGGAAGGGACCCAGTTTCAGCTTTCTACCTATGGCTAGCCAGTTTTCCCAGCACCATTTATTAAATAGGGAATCCTTTCCCCATTTCTTGTTTTTGACAGGTTTGTCAAAGATCAGATGGTTGTAGATGTGTGGTATTATTTCTGAGGGCTCTGCTCTGTTCCATTGGTCTATATCTCTGTTTTGGTACCAGTACCATGCTGTTTTGGTTACTGTAGCCTTGTAGTATAGTTTGAAGTCAGGTAGTGTGATGCCTCCAGCTTTGTTCTTTTGGCTTATGATTGTCTTGGAAATGCAGGCTCTTTTTTGATTCCATATGAACTTTAAAGTAGTTTTTTCCAATTCTGTGAAGAAAGTCATTGGTAGCTTGATGGGGACGGCATTGAATCTACAAATTATCTTGGGCAGTATGGCCTTTTTCATGATATTGATTCTTCCTATCCATGAGCCTGGAATGTTCTTCCATTTGTTTGTGTCCTGTTTTATTTCGTTGAGCAGTGGTTTGTAGTTCTCTTTGAAGAGGTCCTTCACGTCCCTTGTAAGTTGTATTGCTAGGTATTTTATTCTCTTTGAAGTAATTGTGAATGGGAGTTCACTCGTGATTTGGCTCTCTGTTTGTCTGTTATTGGTGTATAAGAATGATTGTGATTTTTGCATATTGATTTTGTATCCTGAGACTTTGCTGAAGTTGCTTATCAGCTTAAGGAGATTTTGGGCTGAGATAAGCAGTTTTCTAAATATACAATCATGTCATCTGCAAACAAGGACAATTTGACTTCCTCTTTTCCTAATTGAATACCCTTTATTTCTTTCTCCTGCCTGATTGCCCTTGCCAGAACTTGCAACACTATGTTGAATAGGATTGGAGAGAGAGGGCATCCCTGTCTTATGCCAGTTTTCAAAGGGAATGCTTCCAGTTTTTGCCCATTCAGTGTGATATTGGCTGTGGGTTTGTCATAAATAGCTCTTATTATTTTGAGATATGTCCCATCAATACCTAATTTATTGAGAGTTTTTAGCATGAAGGGCTGTTGAATTTTGTCAAAGACATTTTCTGCATCTATTGAGATAATCATGTGGTTTTTGTCTTTGGTTGTGTTTATATGATGGATTACGTTTATTGATTTGTGTATGTTGAACCAGCCTTGTATCCCAGGGATGAAGCCAACTTGATTGTGGTGGATAAGCTTTTTGATGTGTTGCTGGATTCGGTTTGCCAGTATTTTATTGAGGATTTTTGCATCGATGTTCATCAGGGATATTGGTCTAAAATTCTCTTTTTTTGTTATGTCTCTGCCAGGCTTTGGTATCAGGATGATGCTGGCCTCATAAAATGAGTTAGGGAGGACTCCCTCTTTTTCTATTGATTGGAATAGTTTCAGAAGGAATGATACCAGCTCCTCTTTGTGCCTCTGATAGAATTTGGCTGTGGGTCTGTCTTGTCCTGGACTTTTTTTGGTTGGTAGGCGATTAATTATTGCCTCAATTTCAGAGCCTGTTATTGGTCAATTCAGGGATTCAAGTTCTTCCTGGTTTAGTCTTGGGAGGGTGTATGTGTCGAGGAATTTATCCATTTCTTCTAGATTTTCTAGTTTATTTGCACAGAGGTGATTATAGTATTCTCTGATGGTAGTTTGTGTTTCTGTGGGATCAGTGGTGATATCCCCTTTATCATTTTTTATTGTGTCTATTTGATTCTTCTCTCTTTTCTTCTTTATTATTCTTGCTAGCAGTCTATCAATTTTGTTGATCTTTTCAAAAAACCAACTCCTGGATTCATTGATTTTTTGAAGGGTTTTTTGTGTCTCTAACTCCTTCAGTTCTGCTCTGATCTTAGTTATTTCTTGCCTTCTGTTATCTTTTGAATGTGCTTCCTCTTGCTTCTCTAGTTCTTTTAATTGTGATGTTAGGGTGTCAATTTTAGATCTTTTCTGCTTTCTCTTGTGGGCATTTAGTGCTATAAATTTCCCTCTACCCACTGCTTTGAATGTGTCCCAGAGATTCTAGTATGTTGTATCTTTGTTCTCATTGATTTCAAAGAACATCTTTATTTCCTTATTTCTGCCTTCATTTTGTTATGTACCCAGTAGTCAATCAGGAGCAGGTTGTTCAGTTTCCATGTAGTTTTGTGGTTTTGAGTGAGTTTCTTAATCCTGAGTTGTAGTTTGATTGCACTGTGGTCTGAGAGACAGTTTGTTTTAATTTCTGTTCTTTTACATTTGCCGAGGAGTGCTTTACTTCCAAATATGTGGTCAATTTTGGAATAAGCGAGATGTGGTGCTGAGAAGAATGTATATGCTGTTGATTTGTGATGGAGAGTTCTCTAGATGTCTATTAGGTTCGCTTGGTGCAGAGCTGAGTTCAATTCCTGGATATCCTTGTTAGCTTTCTGTCTTGTTATCTGCGTAATGTTGGCGGTGGGGTGTTAAAGTCTCCCATTATTATTGTGTGGGAGTCTAAGTCTCTTTATAGGTCTCTAAGGACTTGATTTATGAATCTGGGTGCTCCTGTATTGGGTGCTTATATATTTAGGATAGTTAGCTCTTCTTGTTGAATTGATCCCTTTACCATTATGTAATGGCCTTCTTCGTCTTTTTTGATCTTTGTTGGTTTAAAGTCTGTTTTATCAGAGACTAAGATTGCAACCCCTGCTTTTTCTTTGTTTTCCATTTGCTTGGTAGATCTTCCTCCATCCCTTTATTTTGAGCCTATGTGTGTCCTGCACCTGAGATGGGTCTCCTGAATACATCACACTGATGGGTCTTGACTCTATCCAATTTGCCATTCTGTGTCTTTTAATTGGAGCATTTGGCCCATTTTCATTTAAGGTTAATATTGTTATGTGTGAATTTGATCCTGTCATTATGATGTTAGCTGGTTATTTTGTCCATTAGTTGATGCAGTTTCTTCCTAGCATTGATAGTCTTTACAATTTGGCATGTTTTTGTAGTGGCTGGTACCGATTGTTCCTTTCCATGTCTAGTGCTTCCTTCACGAGCTCTTGTAAGCCTGGCCTGGTGGTGACAAAATCTCTCAGCATTTGCTTGTTTGTAAAGTATTTTATTTCTCCTTCACTTATGAAGCTTAGTTTGGCTGGATATGAAATTCTGGGTTGAAAATTCTTTTCTTTAAGAATGTTGAATATTGGCCCCCACTCTCTTCTGGCTTGTAGAGTTTCTGCCGAGAGATCCGCTGTTAGTCTGAGGGGCTTCTCTTTGTGGGTAACCCGACCTTTCTCTCTGGCTGCCCTTAACATTTTTTCCTTCATTTCAACTTTGGTGAATCTGACAGTTATGTGTCTTGGAGTTACTCTTCTGGAGGATTATCTTTGTTGTGTTCTCTGTATTTTCTCGATTTGAATGTTGGCCTGCCCTGCCAGGTTGAGGAAGTTCTCGTGGATAATATCCTGTAGAGTGTTTTCCAACTTGGTTCCATTCTTGCCATCACTTTCAGGTATACCAATCAGACATAGATTTGGTCTTTTCACGTAGTCCCATATTTCTTGGAGGCATTGTTCTTTCTTTTTACTCTTTTTTCTCTAAACTTCTCTTCTCACTTCATTTCATTCATTTGATCTTCAGTCACTGATACCCTTCCACTTGATCAATTCGGCTACTGAAGCTTGTGCATTCGTCAGATAGTTCTTGTGCCACGGTTTTCAGCCCCATCAAGTCATTTAAGGTCTTCTCTACGCTGTTTATTCTAGTTAGCAATTCGTCTAATCTTTTTTCATGGTTTTTAGCTTCTTTGCTATGGGTTCAAACATCCTCCTTTAGCTCAGGGAAGTTTCTTATTCCTGATCGTCTGAAGCCTTGTTCTCTCAACTCGTCAAAGTCAGTCTCCATCCAGCTTTGTTCCATTGCTAGTGAGGAGCTGCATTCCTTTGGAAGAGAAGAGGCACTCTGATTTTTAGAATTTTAAGCTTTTCTGCTCTGTTTTCTCCCCATCTTTGTGGTTTTATCTACCTTTGGTCTTTGATGATGGTGACATAGAGATAGGGTTTTGGTGTGGATGTCCTTTCTGTTTGTTAGTTTTCCTTCTAACAGTCAGTTCCCTCAGCTGCAGTTCTGTTGGAGTTTGCTGGAGGTCCACTCCCATCTCTGTTTTCCTGGGTATCACCAGTGGAGGCTGCAGAACAGCAAATATTGCAGAACGTCAAATGTTGCTGCCTGATCCTTCCTCTGGAAGCTTCATCTCAGATGTGCACCTGGCTGTATGAAGTGTCCATCGGCCACTCCTGGGAGGTGCCTCCCAGTTAGGCTACTCAGGGATCAGGGACCCACTTGAGGAGGCAGTCTGTCCATTCTCAGATCTGAAACTCCACACCGGGAGGACCACTACTCTCTTTAAAGCTGTCAGCCAGGGACATTTAAGTCTGCAGAAGTTTCTGCTGCCTTTTGTTCAGTTATGCCCTGCTCCCAGAGGTGGATTCTACAGAGGCAGGCAGGCCTCCTTGAGCTGCGGTGGGCTTCACCCAGTTTGAGCTTCCTAGCTGCTTTGTTTACCTACTCAAACCTCAGCAATGGTGGACGCCCCTCCCCTAGCCTCGCTCCTGCCTTGCAGTTCGATCCCAGACTGCTGTGCTAGCAGTGAGTGAGGCTCCCTGGGCGTGGGACTCTCTGAGCCATGCGTGGGATATAATCTCCTGGTGTGCCACTTGCTAAGACCTTTGGAAAAGCACAGTAATAGGGTGGCAGTGTCCCAATTTTCCAGGTATCGTCTGTCATGGCTTTCCTTGGCTAGGAAAGGGAATTCCCTGACCCCTTGCACTTCCCAGGTGAGGCGATGCCCCATCCTACTTTGGCTCACACTCCATGGGCTGCACTCACTGTCTGACAAGCCCCAGTGAGATGAACCCAGTAACTCAGTTGGAAATGCAGAAATCACCTGTCTTCTTCATCGCTCACACTAAGCACTGGAGCCTGGAGCTCTTCCTATTTGGCCATCTTGGAACCTCCTGCTGAGGATTATTTTATGTCCAATTATGTAGTAGAATTCAGAATGTGTGCCATATGTCAATGAGAATAATGCATATTCTCTTGTTTTGGGATAAAGATGTTTATCAGATCATTTTGGTCCAATATTGAGTTCAGGTCCTAAATATTTCCTTTAATTTTCTACCTTGATAATCTGTCTGATACCATCAGTGGAGTGTTACAGTTCTCCACTATTTTTGTGTGAAAGTCTACATCTGTGTTATAGTTTGGCTTTGTCCCCACCCAAACCTCATCTTGAATTGTAGATCCCATAATTCCACATGTTGTGGGAGGGACCCAGTGGGAGATAACTGAATCATGGGGGCAGTTGCCCTTATACTGTTCTCATAGTAGTGAATAAGTCTCATGAGATCTGATGGTTTTATAAGGTGTTTCACTTTTCACTTGGCTCTCATTCTCTCTTTCCTCCCACCATGTAAGACATACCTTTGTTCTTTTCTCACCTTCCACCATGATTGTGAGGCCTCCCCAGCTATGTGAAACTGTGAGTCAACTCTTTTTTTTATATAAATTACTCAATCTCAGGTATCTCTTTATTAGAAGCATGAGTATGGATTAATACAGTAAATTGGTACCAAGTAGTGGGGAACTGCTGTAAAGATACTAAAAAATGTGGAGGTGACTTTGAAACTGGGTAACAGGCAGAGCTTGGGACAGTTTGGAGGGCTCAGAAGAAGATAAGAAAAGTGGGAAAGTTTGGAACTTCCTAGAGACTTGGAGGGCTCAGAAACAGAAAGATGTGGGAGAGTATGGAACTTCCTGGAGACTTGTTGAATGGCTTTGACCAAAATGCTGATAGTGATATGGACAATAAGGTCTAGGCTGAGGTGGACTCAGATGGAGATGAGGAATGTATTGGGAACTCGAGTAAAGGTCACTTTTGCTATGCAAAGAAACTGGCAATATTTTGCCCCTACCCTAGAGATCTGTGGAACTTTGAACTTGAGAGAGATAATTTAGGGTATCTGATGTAAGAAATTTCTAAGTGACAACGTGTTCAAGAGGAAGTAGAGCATCACAGTTTGGAAAATGGGCAGCCTGGCCATGTGGTAGGAAAGAAAAACCCATCTTTTGGGGAAAAATTCAAGCCAGCTGCAGAAATTTGCATAAGTAATGAGAAACCCAAGGTTAATCACCAAGACAATGAGGAATGTGTCTCCAGGGCATGTCAGAGATCTTTATGACAGCAACTCCCATCACATGTCAGGAGGGGTAGGAGGAAAAAATGGTTTCATGGGTCAGGCCCAGGACACCCCTGATGTGTGCCTAGAGACTTGGTGCCCTGAGTCCCAGCTGCTCCAGCTATGGCTGAAAGAAGCCAAGATACAGCTCAGGCTATTCCTCCAGAAGGTGTAAGCCCCAAGCCTTGTCAGCTTCCATGTAGTGTTGAGCCTTTGGTGCACAGAAATCAAAAATTGAAGTTTGGGAACCTCTACCTAGATTTCAGAGGATGTATGGAAATGCCTGGATACCCAGGAAAGTATGTTGCAGGGGTGGGCCCTCATGGAGAACCTCTGCTAGGGCAGTGCAGAAGGAAAATGTGGGGTTGAACCCCCAACACAGAGTCCCCAACTGGGGCATTGCCAAGTGGAGCTATGAGAAGATGGCCATCATCCTCCAGACCCCACAATGGTAGATCCACCTACAGCTTGCACTGTGCACCTAAAAAGCCAAAGACACTCAACACCAGCATGTGAAAGCACTCAGGAGTGGGGATGTACCCTGTGAAGCCAGGGTTGTGGCAGCCTACCTCTTGCATCAGCATGCCCTGGATATGAGATATGGAGTAAAAGGAGATTACTTTGGAACTTTAAGGTTTACTGACTGTCATATTGATTTGCATACATGCATGGGGCCTGTGGTCCCTATATTTTGACAAATTTCTTCCATTAGGAATGGGTGTATTTACCCAATGCCTGTATCCTCATTGTATCTAGGAAGTAACTAACTTGATTTTGATTTTACAGGCTCACAGGTGGAAGGGACTTGCCTTGTCTCAGATGAGACTTTGGACTGTGCAGTTTTGAATAAATGCTGAAATGAGTTAAGACTTTCGGGGACTGTTGGGAAGACATGATTGGTTTTGAAATGTGAGGACATGATATTTGGGAGGGGCCAGGGGTGGAATGATATGGTTTGGCTGTGTCCTCACCCAAATCTCATCTTGAACTGTAGCTCTCATAATCCCCACATGTCATGGGAAAACCCCAGTGGGAGGTAATTGAATCATGGGGGTGGGTTTTTTCCCATGCTGTTTTCTTGATAGTGAATAAGTCTTATGAGATCTGATGGTTTTATAAAGAGAAGTTCCCCTGCACATGCTCTCTTGCCTGCCACCATGTAATACATGCCTTTGCTCCTCCTCCACCTTCTGCCATAATTGTGAAGCTTCCCCAGCCATGAGAACTGTGAGTACATTAAACCTATTTTTCTTTATAAATTACCCAATCTCAGGTATTGTCTTTATTAGCAGCATGAGAACAAACCAATACAGCTAGATATCTTAAATAAAAACTAATCAGAACTTCTGGAAATAAAAGATACATTTAGAGAATTACAAAATGCATTGGAAAGCTTTAACAATAGCTTGAAGATAGGGCTTTTGAATTAACACGATCAGAAAATGCATATGAAAATAATCAAAAGAAATGAACAAAGTATCAAAAAATATGGGCTTATGTAAAATGGTCAAGCATAAAAATAATTTATTTTTCTGAAAGAGAAGAGAAAGCAATAATTTGAAAATTTGAGAGAATAATTGAGGGAAATTTTCCTGGCTTTGCTAGAAATTTAGATATCCAAATACAAGAAGCTCAATTAAATCCTTGGAGATTCATTACAAAAGTCATCACCAAGACATATAGTCATCTGTCTATCTAAAGTTAAAATTAAGAAAATAATTCTAAGAGCAGTGAGACAAAAGCACTTGGTAACCTATAAAGAAAAACCTATCACTAACAGCAGACTTCTCAGCAGAAACCTTACAAGCCAGAAATAATTTTGCTTATATCTTTAGCCTTGTTAAACAGAATAACTGTCAGCAAATAATTTTGTATGCAGCAAAACTAAATTCCACAAATGAAAAAGAAATAAATTAATTTTTAGACAAACAAATTCTGTGAGAATATGCCACTACCAAACCAGCCCTACAAGAAATGTTAGAATGATTTCTAAATCTTGAAACAAAAGCTCAATATGCACCAAAATAGAACCTCTTAAAATCACAAAACTCATGTGACCTAAAAAATAATAACATAATGAATACAAAGTAGGTAACAATTAACATGATGAATGGAACAGTGCTTCATATCTCAATATTAACATTGAATGTAAATGGCCTAAATGCTCTACATAAAAGATACAGATTATCAGAATCAATAAAAAATTATACTGAGATTGTGCCACTGCACTCTGCCTGGGCGAAAGAGCGAGACTCCATCTCAAAAAAAAAAAAAAATTATAAACCAAATATCTGCTGTCTTTAAGAGACTCAGTTAACACATAAGAATTCATATAAACTAAAAGAAAAGGTGTGAAAGAAGACATTCCATACAAGTGGAAACCAAAGTGATCAGGAGTAGCTATTCTTTTTAAATTATTTATTTATGTTTTTAGGATTTATGTATTTATTTATTTTTCCATAGGTTATTGGGGTACAGGTCGTATTTGGTTACATGGGTAAGTTCTTTAGTGGTGATTTGTGAGATTTTGGTGCACCCATCACCCAAGCACCTAAATGCCTAAAATTCACAGGCTATAAGAATGGTTAATCAAAAAGTAACTTTAAATAATGACTATCACAGTTTTAATAAATAATCTAGGCAAACTATTTAAAAAATTAATTAGGTAAATGTAATTTAATAATTGAAAATAAACTTATATAATTTGGAATCTAATGTTATATTATATAATAGGCATTCAGCCAGGCATGGTGGCTTATGCCTGTAATCCCAGCACTTTGGGAGGCCAAGGCAGTTAGATTGCAAGAAGCCAGGAGTTTGAAACCTGGCTGGCCAACATGACATAACCCACTCTCTACTAAAAATACAAAAATCTGACAGGCATGGTGGTGCTTGCCTGTAATCCCAATTACTTGGCAGGCTGAGGCACAAGATTCACTTGTGGGATTACAGGCATAAGCCACCTGGCTCATTTTTGTATTTTTAGTAGAGACGGGGTTTCAACATATTGGCCAGGCTGGTCTTGAACTCCTGATCTCAAGTTATCCACCTGC
Source organism: Homo sapiens (assembly GCF_000001405.40). Taxonomy (NCBI): domain Eukaryota; kingdom Metazoa; phylum Chordata; class Mammalia; order Primates; family Hominidae; genus Homo; species Homo sapiens. The sequence goes on from NC_000023.11 coordinate 80,898,026, forward strand.
CTTGGCCTCTTAAAGTGCTGGGATTACAGGTGTGAGCCCATGTGCCCGGAGCAGTTGTGTCTTTAACCAGGGCTGTTCTAAGACTTTTATAATTCACACTTATTTTTTAACTTTGATTCTTTTTGGGCAGTTTATAATCAGCTATTAATCTCTAAAGAGTACTCTGAAATATTAATTTCTAATAAATTTAGAGATTATGCTATTGAGATATAGAGAAAAACTTTCATGACTCCCATAGAGAGCTTATGTATTCATAAGGATTGTTGATCTAATACTGAGCAAAGCAGGAGTTAATTGTATGAACTAAACAGAAGATTAAAATAATCTTTTAAGACTTCTTATTTAAAACATTTGCTGATTCTTTTTGTTTTACCTTTCAGAGTCAAGACAAATTTCTATATTTTAAGCTATTTATGGCTTTTAACAATGAGGTAAAATATACTCTTATAAGCAAATTTTGAAACATAATTTCTTTCTCTCAACCTAATTTCTCCAAAATTTGGGAACTATTTTGTGAGTATTCTTAATTTATGACAATATAGTTGTTTGGATAAGTTCAATAAAAATCTGATTTCTTTTATAACAAGGAATAATTGGAGACACTGGTTATTTTACCAAGGCTTTGGCTGGAATAATATATTTTCAGATTTTCTTGAGAAAATGAGGCTGACTTATAGAGCTGATAAAAACCTTGGAAGAGCTGGCAGCATCCCTTTTCCTTTACTTACCTGTGGTAAGTAAAGAATGTCAGTTAATAACAGGCCCAGGAACCCTAAGTTTTCTTGGGACCTCAAAAACAGAAGCATGTACTAAATTCACACAGGTATTGGCAGGCACAGATAAATCTTTGCCTGGGTTTGTTTCTTTTCAAAAGGTCTAGAATTTTTATTTAAAAAGTTTCAGCAAAGCCAATTTAAGAAAACAAGTGAGCCTATATGGCAAGTTATTATTCTTGCTGCACTTTATGCAAATAATCAAGCCAAGTATAATACAACTAAAACTTATTTTACAAATAAATTGTTTTACTGTAATTTTTATCTTTAATAGAATGGGAAATTGGAGAAAGGAAAATTACCTCTCAATAATAAACTATAATACACCTGTTATTTGATTCTAGCCTTGCCTACTGCATTTCACATTTTTATTATATTCTACAATTTTAACCAAATTGTAAAATTTTCTCTGGCTACAAATCTTCAAAATTATGTTTTAGATATTTTTCTTCTTTCTTTACCTTTTTCTTCATTTTTCCTGATTTAAAATTACTAAAAATTAAGCTGTGCTTTTCTTAAGGCCCTGTGACCTGAAGCTAGACAATTTGAACTTCAGAGGAAAATAACAGCAGCCTATTTATGTATACATATATAAACTATTTTCATACCTTCCTACATATATAAGTACTGATGTATGGACTTCAGAGTCACACAGTTTATATCAGTTTTCAAGCATTGTTTTTCTTTTTTACGTCTGTTATTTCCTCCATTTTTCTGTTTTCTTTCTCTCTTCCTCTCCCTACTTTTTTTGGTGAGACATGAGATTTTACAACCTACTAAAAATGAGCTTGACTAACAATGTGGTACCTTTCCATGCAAGAATAAATGCCCTAGTCATGAGAGATCAGACAAAACCCAAGACTAGAAACTAATTTTCTTCTAAAAAGCTTTCTCTTATAGATTTTATTTTTTAAAAAAGAAGGGGGAGAAATGTGAAGGAAAATAAAAACTTTGGAACCTAATTCACTATGCCAACAGAAAAAAAGTTAAGCCAAAAGTTGGATTATGCAAGAAGCTGCCTTTACTTTTGTTCCTAAGCAGATAGCTACAGGTGAAAGATTAGATATCTCTACAGGTGATTACTCTATGTTCACCTTATCTTATGTAATGTGCTGATTAACTGAGCATGAGACAAATACAAAGTTGACTATTCCTCCACCCGCTCCTTTTTCTCTTGCAACATGTGAATTACCAGACCCTCCATCTGTCTCCTCCAGCCCAATTTTTCCCTTTAAATATTGAAGCCCTCAGGCATCTTTGGAGAAAGGCACAGACCACAGACTGTTTCTTTAATTCCATGTTTATTTTTTCTGAGCATGTCCTTAACCTTGGCAAAATAAACTTCTAAATTGATTGAGACCTGCCTTGGAAATTTTTTGGTTTATAAGCTTAATTAGCAATAACCTCTTCACAAATTATCATTAATTTTATGATTGGTAAAGTAAAATAAAAATATCATGACTCTGTAAAAATATCAACATTGCACTAACTTCAAATATTTTAAAAATAGTGTTAAAACTTTAGGACATAATAACATAGTGTTTATGTGAATGGAAATTAGCAACGTTGACACCACAGAAGAACTTGGATATTTGTTTTCTTTTGTTTTGCTTTTGAGAGAGGGTCTTGCTCTGTTACTCAGGCTGAAGTGCAGTGGCATGATCATGGCTCACTGTTGCCTCAGTCTACTGGGCTCAAGTGATTCTTCCACCACAGGCTCCCCAGTAGCTCCAACTACAGGCATGCACCACCACACTCAGCTAATGTTTTGTAAATTTATTTTCTGTAGAGATGGGGCCCAGGCTGATACTGAATTCCTGAGATTAAGCATATCTCCTGCCTTGGTCTCCCAAAGTGGTAGGATTACAGTTATGAGCCACCATTCCCAGCAGGATACTTGTTAAAATGGAAATAATATGGTTTTAATAATTTGTTATATAAATTGATATTAGCAAAAAGGTCTTGTTGAAAATATGCTATCATGCTCAATTGGAATGATACAAAGAAGATTAGCATGGCACTTGTAAAAGGATAACACACAAATTTGTGAAGTGTTCCATATTTTCATTGAGATTCAGGAGGATGATAAAACCCAATCCAAGGAAAATAAGAATCACAATAAAGTAACACAGTAGCTGAAGGATGAATAGCCAGTATAAAACAGAACTTAATAGGTCAGAACTAAGTAACACAATACAAGAATTTCACAACGCAATTACAAGTATCAACAGCAGAATAAACCAAGCTGAGGAAAGAATCTCAAGACTTGAAAAGTAGTTCTCTGAAATAAGGCAGTAAGACAAAAATAAAGAAAAAAGTATAAAAAGGAATAAACAAAACCTCCAAGAAGTATCGGATTATGTAAAAAGACCAAATCTGCAAATCATTGGCATCCTTTAAAGGAAGGGGATGAAAGTGAAAAACGTGGATAATATATTTCAGGCTATTGTTCATGAAAACTTCCCCAATCTTGTTAGAGAGGCCAACAGTCAAATTCAGGAACTACAGAGAACTCCTGCAAGATTCTAAATAAGAAGTTCATCCTCAAGATACATAATTATCAGATTTTCCAAAGTTAAAAGAAAAAATGTAAAGACATCTAGAGAGAAAGGGCAGGTCACCTACAAAGGAAACCCTGTCGGGCTAACAGTGGCCTCTCAGCTGAAACCCTATAAGCCAGAAGAGATTGGGGCCTATATTCAACACTCTTAAAGAAAAAATGTTAAGACGTCTAGAGAGAAAGGGCAGGTCACCTACAAAGGAAACCCTGTCGGGCTAAGAGTGGCCTCTCAACTGAAACCCTATAAGCCAGAAGAGATTGGGGCCTATATTCAACACTCTTAAAGAAAAAAATTTTCAACCAAGAATTTTATATCTAATCAAACTAAGTTTCCTATGTGAAGAAGAAATAAGATCATTTTCAGATAAGAAATTTGTTACCACCAGGCATACGTTACAAGAGATCTTGAAAGGAGCACTAAATATAGAAAGGAAAGACTGCTATCAGCTAATGCAAAAACACACTTAAACACACAGACCAGTGTCACTGTTAAGCAACCACACAAACAAGCCAACATAAAAATCAGCTAACAACACAATGACAGGAACAAATTCACACCTACCAATACTAACCTTGAATATATGTGGGCTAAATGCCCCACTTAGAATGTACAGAGTGGAAAGCTGGATAAAAAAGAAAGACTCAATGATATGCTGTCCTCAAAAGACCCATGTCACACATCATGACATTCATAGGCTCAAATTAAAAAGATGAAAGAAAATATACTAAGCAAATGGAAAACAAATGAAAGCAGGGGCTACAGTTCTAATTTCAGACGAAACAGCTTTAAAACCAACAAAGATCAGATAAGACAGAAAAAACAAAGACAAAGGCATTACATAATGATAAAGGGTTCAATTCAGCAAGAAGACCTAACTATTCTAAATATATGCACACTCAACACAGCAGCAATCAGATTCACAAAGCAAGTTCTTAGAGACCTACCAAGAGACAAAGAGACATAGACTCCCACACAATAATAGTGGGATACTTAAACACTCCACTGACAATATTAGACAGATTATAGAGGCAGAAAATTAACAAAGATATTCAGGACCTAAGCTTAACATTAAACCAAATGGATCTAATTGGCCTTTACAGAACTCTCCAGCCCAAATCAACAAAATATACATTCTTCCCATTGCCAAATGGCACATACTCTAATAATGACACATAATTAGACAGAAAACAATCTCCAACAAATATAAAAGAACCAAAATCATACCAAACACACTCTTGCACTACAGTGCAAAAACAATAGAAGTCATGACTATGAAAATTGCTCAAAACTACTATGCAATTACATGGAAATTAAACAACATGCCCCTGAATGACTTTTGGGTAAATAATGAAATTAAGGTAGAAATCAAGAAGTTCTTTTAAAATCATGAAAACAAAGATTCAAAATATCAGAATGTCTGAGATACAGGTAAGGCAGTGTTAAGAGGAAAATTTATAGTACTAAATGCCCACATCAAAAGTTAGAAAGATTTCAAATTAACAACCTAACTTCACAACTAAAATAATTAGAGAAGCAGGAATAAATCAACTGCAAAGCTACCAGCTGACAAAAACAAATCAAAATCGGAGCTGAACTGAAGAAAATCAAGACATGAAAAAGAGTTCAAAAGATGAACAAATCCAGGAGTTGGTTTTTTGAAAAACTTAATAAATTAGATAGGTCACTAGCTAGACTAATAAAAAAGAAAAAAGAGAAGATTCAAATAAACACAATTGGAAATGTTTAATAAAATGATACTACTCATCCCTTCCAAAAAAAAAAAAAAGATGATAACCATTATAAACTACTATGAACACCTCTACTCTCACAAACTAGAAAACCTAGAAGAGATGAATAAATTCCCGGACACATACACTCTCCAAAGACTGAGGCAGGTAGAAATAAATTTTCTGAAAAGACCAATAACAAGCTCCGAAATTAAATCAGTAATAAATAGCCTACTAAGAAAAAAACTTGGGGCCTGATGGACAGGCTGGTACAATTCATACAGAAACTATTTCAAAACATTAAGAAGGAGTAACTCCTTTTCAACTTATTCTATGGAGCCAGCATCATCTTGATACCAAAATCTGGCAGAGGCACAACAAAAACAAAAACAAAAAACACTTCAGGCCAACATATTTGATGAACATTGATGCAAATATATATTTTTTTTACATTTAAAATGTTTTATTTGGAAAGCAATTGAGGGCATACACACAGACCAAGTGGTCTCCAGTATGTCCCAAAGAGAATGTTGGAAATTTTATTAGAAAAAGACATATTCTGTATTGTTTTGAAAGAAAGTTCATTCGCACTAGAGAAGCTTTGGGGAGATAGCAAGCTTCTTGCTAGCTCTGATTAGTGAGTGATGGTGGTAAGTAAAACCAGTGTTAGGGTCCCAGCAAGTTGTTTCAGCAGCTCCTAGGTAAAGTTGGTCTTGGGGTTACAGCAGGCCATTTCAACAGCTGGGCTTGTAGAAGATTTAATTCTTGGATCAGGTGCTATAAGCTCCCAGGGCTTTTTCCCTGTGGCCCCTTGACTGATTTATTTGGTTATGACAAGAATGACCCAATTTGAATAATTAACTTTCACACTAGCAATCCTAGTGGATATGAAATGTTGTCTCTCCCTATTTGAATTTCAGTAATGGTTAAATTATGTTAAGCATTTTTTTTCAGGTTGTACTGTTTTTATTGTAGTTGTTATTAGAAGCACAGAGAGGTTAAGTGACTTGCCAAGAGTCTCTGCTATTTAGTTAACAATTGGGGGGTGTGATGGGGGCCTATAATCCAAGTTGGGAGAACTAACGTGGGCCATATTCCATTAGGTGACATCATCTCTCTGTAGCTGCTTCACATTTCATTATTGTCCCCAAAGCTCACCCATGGTCTGGAGGTACATTGAAAAATTCAGCGAGGAGTTAGAGCACCTCCAATAGCTAAAATGAAGAGTCAGCACTCTGTTAGCAATTTGGCTATGGTAGAACAACTAACTGTCCCATTGATAGAATTGAATGAAAGAACACGAAAGAACTGAGGACTTCTGCTCCCATATGGTTTAGGAAAGTGTCCTTTCAACTCAGAGTAGAGCACTCAACAGAGCATTTGCGGGCTTGGAGTTGATAGGTTTAGGTCCAAATTCAGGGTCAGCTATTAGTCAATTTTTGGAAACATATGTAACTTCTCTGAGCCTCCATTTCCACATTTTTGAAATGGATATAATAATAATAGTAACAGTAGTAATACAGGCCCATCAGCCAGGCACAGTGGCTCACACTTGTAATTCCTGTACTCTGGGAGGTCAAGGTGGGTGAGTCATGAGGTCAGCAGTTCAAAACCAGCCTGGCCAACATAGTGAAACCCTGTATCTACTGAGAAATAAAAAAATTAGCTGGGTGTGTGGTGTGCAACTGTAATCTCAGCTACTGGAGAGGCTGAGGCAGGAGAATCACTTGCACCCAGGAGGTCAAGGTTGCAGAGAACTGAGATCACGCCCCTGCACTCCAGCCTGGGTGAGAGACCAAGACTCTATGTAAAAAAAAACAAAAAAATACAAGCCCATCCTGTATTCTTTTTTTTTTTAATTATATTTTAAGTTCTAGGGTACATGTGCACAACCTGCAGGTTTGCTGTATAGGTATACATGTGCTATGTTAGTTTGCTGCACCCATTAACTCACGATTTACATTAGGTATTTCTCCTACTGCTATCCCTTCTGAGCCATGTGTGGGATATAATCTCCTGGTGTGCCATTTTTTAAGCCCGTCGGAAAAGCGCAGTATTTGGGTGGGAGTGACCTGATTTTCCAGGTGCCTGTCTGTCACCACTTTCTTTGACTCGGAAAGGGAACTCCCTGACTCCTTGCACTTCCCAAGTGAGGCAATGCCTCGCCCTGCTTAGGCTCGCACATGGTGCGCACACCCACTGACCTGCGCCCCCTGTCTGGCACTTCCTAGTGAGATGAACCCGGTACCTCAGATGGAAATGCAGAAATCACCCGTCTTCTGCGTCGCTCACTCTGGGAGTTGTAGACCGGAGCTGTTCCTAGTTGGCCATCTTGGCTCCTCCCTTAAATTTTTTTCTGTTTTATTGGTTTTGTGTGATTTATGCTTTAGAGGTTCTGTTTTGATGTGTTTCCAGGATTTGTTTCAAGATTTAGAGCTTCTTTTAGCAGTTCTTGTAATTGTGGTCTGGTAGTGGCAAATTCTCTCAGCATTTGTTTGTCTGAAAAGACTGTGTCTTTTCTTCATATATGATGCTTTGTTTCACTGGATACAAGATTCTTGGCTGATAATTGTTTTGTTTTAGGAGGGTGAAAATAGGGCCAATTTTTTTTTTCTAGCTTGTAGGGTTTCTGCTGGGAAATCTGCTGTTAATGTGATAAGTTTTTCTTTATAGGTTACCTGGTGCTTTTGTCTCACAGCTCTTAAGATTCTTTACTGCTGGTGTCTGGCAAGATATTCGAATAGGAACAGCTTTGGTGTTCAGTTTCCAGGAGATCAATGCAGGCAGGAGATTTCTGCATTTCCAACTGAGGTACCTGGCTCATCTCACTGGGACTGGTTAGACAGTGGGTGCAGCCCACGGAGGGCGAGCTGAAGCAGGGTGCGGTGTCATCTCACCCGGGAAGCACAAGGGGTTGGGGAACTTCCTCCACTAGCCAAGGGAAGCCATGAGGGACTGTGCCCTGAGAAACAGTGCACTCCAGCCCAAATACTAGGCTTTTCCCATGGTCTTCACAACCTGCAGACCAGGAGATTCCCTTGGGTGCCTATGCCACCAGGGTCCTGGGTTTCAAGCACAAAACTGGGTGGCTGCTTGGGCAGACACTGAGCTAGCTGAATGAGTTTTCTTTTCATACCACTGTGGCACCTGGAATGCCAGCAAGACAGAACTGTTTACTGCCCTGGAAAGGGGGCTAAAGCCAGGGAGGCAAGTTGTCTAGCTCAGCAGATCCCAACCCCACAGAGCCCAGCAAGCTAAAATCCACTGGCTTGAAATTCTCCCTGTCAGCACACCAGTCTGAAGTCGATCTGTGACACTCAAGCTTGGTGGGGAGAGGGGCACCCACCATTACTGAGGCTTAAGTAGGCTGTTTTCCCCTCGCAGTGTAAACAAAGCTGGCTGGGTTCTTAGGACTGGGCAGAGCTCACCGCAGCTTCACAAAGCCCCTGTATCCAGAATGCCTCTCTAGATTCCTCTGCTCTGGGCAGGGCATCTCTGAAAGAAACGCAGCAGCCCCAGTCAGTGGCTTATAGATAAAACTCCCATCTCTCTGGGACAGAGCACCTGGGGGAAGGGGCGGTTGTGGGTACAGCTCCAGCAGACTCAAACATTCCTGCCTGCTGGCTCTGAAGAGAGCAGCAGATCTCCCAGTACAGTGCTCAAGTTCTGCTAAGAAACAGAATGCCTCCTCAAGTGGCTCCCTGACTGCTGTGCCTCCTGATTGGGAGACACTTCCCAGCAGGGGTCAACAGGCACCTCACACAGAAGAGCTCTGGCTGGCATCTGGTGAGTGCCCCTCTGGGACGAAGCTTCCAGAGGAAGGAACAGGCAGCCATCTTTGCTTCTCTGCAGCCTCTGCTGGTGATACCCAGGCAAACAGGGTCTGGATTGGACCTCCAGCAAACCCCAGCAGACCTGCAGCAGAGGGGCCTGACTGTTAGAAGGAAAACTAACAAACAGAAAGGAATAGCATCAACATCAACAAAAACGATGTACACACAGAAACCCCATCCGAAGGTCACCAACATCAAAGACTAAAGGTAGACAAATCCACGAAGATGAGGAAAAACTAGCACAAAAAGGCTGAAAATTCCAAAAACAAGAATGCCTTTTTTCCTCCAAGGTATCACAACTCCTCGCCAGCAAGGGAACAAAACTGGATGGAGAATGAGTTTGAGTAATTGGCAGAAATAGGTTTCATGGATGAAACTGGAAACCATCATTCTCAGCAAACTATCGCACGGACAAAAAACCAATCACCGCATGTTCTCACTCATAAGTGGGAATTGAACCATGAGAACACATGGACACAGGAAGGGGAACATCACACAACAGGGACTGTTGTGGGGTGGGGGGAAGGGGGAGGGATAGCATTAGGAGATATACCTAATGCTAAATGACAAGTTAATGGGTGCAGCACACCAACATGGCACATGTATACATATGTAACAAACCTGCACGTTGTGAACATGTACCCTAAAACTTAAAATATAATAATAATAAAATTAAAAAAAAAGAATTAGGTTTCAGAAGGTGAGTAATAAAAACTCCTGCAAGCTAAAGGAGCATGTTCTAACCCAGTGCAAGGAAGCTAAGGACCATGAAAAAAGATTAGAGGAATTGCTAACCAGAATAACCAGCTTAGAGAAGAACATAAATGACTTGAAGGGGCTGAAAAACACAACACGAGAACTTCGTGAAGCATACACAAGTATCAAGAGCTGAATCTATCAAGTGGAAGAAAGGAAATCAGACGTTGAAAGTCAACTTACTGAAATAAATCGTGAAGACAAGATTAGTGGAAAAAAAGTGAAAAGGAATGAACAAAGCCTCCAAGAAATATGGGAATATGTGAAAAGACCAAACCTACAATTGATTGGGGTCCCTGAAAGTGACGAGGAGAAAGGAACCAAGTTGGAAAACACTCTTCAGGATATTACCCAGGAGAACTTCTCCAACCTAGAAAAAGAAGCCAACATTCAAATTCAGGAAATACAGAGAACACCAGAAGGATACTCCTCGAGGAAAGCAACCCCAAGACACATAAGGGTCAGATTCTCCAAAATTGAAATGAAGAAAAAAAATGTTTTTTTATTTTATTTTATTTTATTATTATTATTATACTTTAAGTTTTAGGGTACATGTGCACAATGGGCAGGTTAGTTACATATGTGTACATGTACCATGCTGGTGTGCTGCACCCATTAACTCGTCATTTAGCCTTAGGTATATCTCCTAAATCTATCCCAAAGAACTATAAATCATGCTGCTATAAAGACACATGCACACGAAAAAAAATGTTAAGGGAAGCGAGAGAGAAAGGTCAGGTTACCCACAAAGGGAAGCCCATCAGACTAACAGTGGATCTCTCTGCAAAAACCCTACAAGCCAGAAGAGAGTGGGGGCCAATATTCAACATTCTTGAAGAATTTTCAATCCAGAATTTCATATCCAGCAAAACTAAGCTTCATAAGTGAAGAAGAAATAAAATCCTTTCAGACAAGAAAATGTTGAGAGATTTTGTCACCACCAAGCCCACCTTACAATAGCTCCTGAAGCAAGCACTAAATATAGAAAAAAAAAAAACACTGATACCAGTCACTGGAAAAACATAACAAATTGTAAAGACCATCGACACTATGAAGAAACTGCATCAACTAATGGGCAAAACAACCAGCTAATATCACAATGACAGGATTAAATTCACATATAGTAATATTAACCTTAAATGTAAATGGGCTAAATGCTCCAATTAGAAGACACAGACTGGCAAATTGATTGGATAAAGAGTCAAGACCCATTGGTGTGCTATATTCAGGAGACACATCTCACATACAAAGACACACATAGGCTCAAAATAAAGGGATGGAGAAATATTTACCAAGCAAATGGAAAGCAAAAAAAAAAAAAAAAAAAAAAAAAAAAAAAAAAAAAAGCAGAGGTTGTAATCCTGGAACCTAGTTTCTGATAAAACAGACTTTAAACCCATAAAGATCAAAAAAGGCAAAGAAGGGCATTGCATAATGGTAAAGGGATCAATGCAACAACAAGAGCTAAGTATCCTAAATATATATGCACCAAATACAGGAGCACCCAGATTCCTAAAGCAAGTTTGTAGAGAGCTGCAAAGAGACTTAGACTCCCACACAATAACAGTGAGAGACTTTAACACCCTACTGTCAATATTAGGCAGATCAATGAGACAGAATGTTAACAAGGATATTTAGGACTTGATCTCAGCTCTGAACCAAGCAGACGTAATAGACACCTACAGAACTCTCTGCCCCAAATCAACGGAATATACATTGTTCTCAGCAACACATAGCACTTATTCTAAAATTGACCACGAATTTGGAAGTAATACACTCCTCAGCAAATGTACAAGAATGGAAATCATAAAAAACAGTCTCTCAGACCACAGCGCAATCACATTAGAACTCAGGATTAAGAAACTCACTCAAAATCACACAACTACATGGAAACTGAACAACCTGCTCCTGAGTGACTACTGGGCAAATAAAATTAAGGCATAAATAAATAAGTTATTTGAAAACAATGAGAACAAAGACACAATGTACTAGAATCTCTGGGACACAAATAAAGCAGTGTTTAGAGGGAAATGTATAGCACTAAATTCCCACATCAGAAAGCATGAAAGATCTAAAATTGACACCCTAACATCACAATTAAAAGAACTAGAGAAGAGTCAGCAGAGCAAGAGCAAACAAATTCAAAAGCTAGCAGAAGACAAGAAATAACTAAGATCAGAGCAAAACTGAAGGAGGTAGAGACAAAAAAAAAAACCTTCAAAAAATCAATGAATCCAGGAGCTTGTTTTTGAAAAAATCAACAAAATAGACCACTAGCCAGACTAATAAAGAAGAAAGAGAGAAGAATCAAATAGACACAATAAAAAATGATAAAGGGAATGTCACCACTGATCCCACAGAAATACAGACTAACATCAGAGAATGCTACAAACACCTCTACACAAATAACTAGAAAAATTAGAAATGGATAAATTCCTGGACACATACAATCTCTGAAGACTAAACCAGGAAGAAGTCGAATCCCTGAATAAACAAATAACAAGTTCTGAAATTGAGGCAGTAATTAATAGCCTATCAACCAATAAAAGCCCAGGACCAGACGGATTCACAGCCAAATTCTATCAGAGATACAAAGAGGAGCTGGTACCATTCCTTCTGAAACTATTCCAAGCAATACAAAAAGAGGGACTTCTCCCTAACTCATTTTATGAGGCCAGCATCATCCTGGTACCAAAAACCTGGCAGAGACACAACAACGACAAAAAAATTTTTTGGCCAATATCCCTGATGAACATCGATGCATAAATCTTCAATAAAATACTGGCAAACTGAATCCAGCTGCACGTCAAAAGCTTATCCACCACAATCAAGGTGGTTTTATCCCTGGGATGCAAGGCTGGTTGAACTTATGCAAATCAATAAACGTAATCTATCACATAAACAGAACCAATGACAAAAAAACACATGTTTATCTCAATAGATTCAGAAAATGCCTTCGATATAATTCAACACCCCATCATGTTAAAAACTCTCAAAAAACTAGGTATTGATGGAACATATCTCAAAATAATAAGAGCTATTTATGACAAACCCACAGCCAATATCATACTGAATAGGCAAAAGTTGGAAGCATTCCCTTTGAAAATCGGCACAAGACAAGAATGCCCTCTCTCACCACTCTTATTCAACATAATATTGGATATATTAACACCTGGCCAGGGCAATAAGGCAAGAGAAAGAAATAAAGGGTATTCAAATAGGAAGAGAGGAAGTCAAATTTTCTCTGTTTTCAGATGACATAATTGTATATTTGGAAAACCCCATAGTCTCAGCCCAAAATCTCCTTAAGCTGATAAACATCTTCAGAAAGTCTCAGGATACAAAATCAATGTGAAAAAATCACAAACATTCCTATACACCAAAAATAGACTAAGAGAGAGTCAAATAATGAGTGAACTCCCATTCACAATTGCTGCAAAGAGAATAAAATACCTAGGAATACAACTTACAAGGGATATGAAGGATCTTTTCAAGGAGAACTACAAGCCACTGCTCAAGGAAATAAGAGAGGACACAAACAAATGGAGAAACATTCCATGCTCATGGATAGGAATAATCAATATCGTGAAAATGGCCATACTGCCCAAAGTAATTTATACATTCAATGCTATCCCCATCAAGCCACCATTGAATTTCTTCACAGATTTAGAAAAACTACTTTAAATTTCATATGGAACTGAAAAAGAGCCCGTATATCCAAGTCAATCCTAAGCCAAAAGAACAAAGCTGGAGGCATCACACTACCTGACTTCAAACTATACTACAAGGCTACAGTAACCGAAACAGCATGATACTGGTACCAAAACAGACATATAGACCAATGGAACAAAACAGAGGCCTCAGAAATAACACCACACACCTACAACCATCTGATCTTTGACAAACCTGACAAAAACAAGCAATGGGGAAATGATTCTTTAATAAATTATGTTGGGAAAACTGGCTAGCCATATGCAGAAAACTGAAACTGGACCCCTTCCTTACACCTTATACAAAAATTAACTCCAGGTGGATTAAAGACTTAAATGTAAGACCTAAAACCATAAAAACCCTAGAAGAAAACCTAGGCAATACCATTCAGGACATAGGCATGGGCAGAGACTTTGTGACTAAAACACCAAAAGCCATGGCAACAAAACCCGAAATTGACAAATGAGATCTAATTACACTAAAGAGCTTCTGCACAGCAAAAGAAACTATCATCAGAGTGAACAGGCAACCGACAGAATGGGAGAAAATTTTTGCAATCTGTTCATCTGACAAAGGGCTAATATCCAGAATATGCAAGAAACTTAAACAAATTTACAAAAAAAAAAAAAACCCCACAAACAACCCCATCAAAAAGTGGGCAAAGGATATGAACAGACGCTTCTCAAAAGAAGACATTTATGCAGCCAAAAAACATGAAAAAAAGCTCATCATCACTGATTATTAGATAAATGCGAATCAATACCACAATGAGATATCATCTCATGCCAGTTAGAATGGCGATCATTAAAAAGTTAGGAAACAACAGATGCTGTAGAGGATGTGGAGAAATAGGAATGCTTTTACACTGTTGCTGGGAGTGTAAATTAGTTCAAACATTGTGGAAGACTGTGGCGATTCCTCAAGGATCTAGAACCAGAAATACCATTTGACCCAGCAATTCCATTACTGGGTATATATGCAAAAGATAATAAATCATTCCACTATAAAGACATATGCACATGTATCCTTATTGCAGCACTGTTCACAGTAGCAAAGACTTGGAACCAACCCAAATGCCCATCAATGATAGACTGGATTAAATGATAGACTGGTACGTATACACCATGGAATACTATGCAGCCATAAAAAAGGATGAGTTCATGTCCTTTGCAGGGACATAGATGAAGCTGAAAACCATCATTCTCAGCAAACTAACACAGGAACAGAAAACCAAACACTGCATGTTCTCACTTATAAATGGGAGTTGAACAACTAGAACACATGGACACAGGGAGGGGAATAGCACACACTGGGGTCTGTCGTGGGGTAGGGGATAGGGGAGGGATCACATTAGGAGACATACCTAATGTAGATGATGGGTTGATGGGTGCAGCAAACCATTATGGCACACACATACCTATGTAACAAACCTGCAAGTTCTGCACATGTATCCCAGAACTTAAAGTATAAGAATAATAAAAAAAGATTATTTCCTTTGTCTTAACTTTAGATAACCTGATGAAAATGTGCCTAGGCAATGATCTTTTTGCAATGAATTTCCCAGGTGTTTGTGCTTGTTGTATTTGGATGTCTAGGTCTCTAGCAAGGCTGGGCAAATTTTCCTCTATTATTCCCCCAAATATGTTTTTGAAACTGTTAGATTTCTCTTAGCTTTTGGGAACACCGATTATTCATAGGTTTGGTTATTCAACATAATCCCAGATTTTTTGGAGGCTTTATTTATATATTTTTTATTTTCATTTTTTGTCTATGTTTGATTGGGTTAATTCAAAGATCTTGTCTTTGAGCTCTGAATTTCTTTCTTCTACTTGTTCAATTTTATTGCTGAGACTTTCCACAGCATTTTGCATTTTTACAAGTGTGTCCAATGTTTCCTGAAGTTTTGATTGTTTTTTCTTTATGCTATCTATTTCCTTGACTATTTCTCTCTTCACTTCTTTTATAATTTTTTGAATTTCCTTACATTTGGCTTTACCTTTCGCTGGGGCCTCCCCAGTTAGTTTAATATTGAACCTTCTGAATTCTTTTTCAGGTAAATCAGGGATTTCTTCTTGGTTTGGACCCATTGCTGGTTAACTAGTGTGGTTTTTTGGGGGTATTAAAGAACCTTGTTTTGTCATGTAACCAGAGTTGGTGTTCTGGTTCCTTCTCATTTGAGTAGGCTCTGTCAGAGGGAAAATCTAGGGCTGAAGGCTTTTGTTCAGATTCTTTTGTCCCATGGGGGATTCCCTTGATGTAGTACTCTCCCCTTTTTCCTATTGATGTGACTTCCTGGAAGTTGAGCTGTCAATTATTGTTATCTCTCTTGTGGATCTAGCCACCCAGCAAGTCTATAAGGCTTCGAGCAGGTATTAGGGTTTATCTGCACAGAGTCCGGTGATATGAACTGTCTATGGGTCTCTCAGTCATGTATACCAGCACTTGTTCTGGTGGAGGTGGCTGGGGGGTGAAATGGACTCTGCGAGGGTTCTTAGCTTTGGTAGTTCAATGCACTATTTTTGTGCCAGCTGGCCTCCTCCCAGAAGGTGGCGCTTTCCAGAAAGCATCAGCTGTGGTAGTATGGTGAGGAACAGGTGGTGAGTGGGGCCCTAGAACTCCCAAGAGTATATATCCTTTGTCTTTAGTTACCACGGTGAGCAGGGAAGGACCATTGGGTGGGAGAGGAGGTAGGTATTTCTGAGCTCAGACTCTCCTTTGACAGGACTTGCTGCAGCTTCTATGGGGGATGGGGGTGTGGTACCCAGGTCAATAAAGTTATGTTCCTAAGGAGGATTATGTCTGCTTCTGCTGTGTTATGCAGGTTGTCAGGGAAGTGGGGGAAAGCCAGCAGTCATAGGCTTCACCCAGCTCTCATGCAATCTGAAAGGACCAGCCTTACTCACATCGTGCCCTCCATAACAGCACCAAGTTTTTTTCTAGACAGTGGGCAAGCAGGGCTGAGAACTTGCCCCATGCTACCAGCCTCCCAGTTGTGAAAGCAAATATGCCTTTCTTTCTTCCCCCACCTGTGGATTCTGCACACTGGATTCATGCCATCCCTTGAGTTCTGGCAAGGAGGCTTCTCAATCAGTTCAAATTGTTAAAGTTCAGCTGGAGATTTCCTTTTCTCTATGACCTTTTCCCAAAGCCTCTGGCTGCTCCTAATGGCCCAAGCCTCTGGACCCCTCTTCTTCCTCAGAGCCATGCCAGTGGTGTGACTTGTTCCCCCAGGATTAGAACCACAGCTACTTTCTCACCATTTGAGCCCAAACTTCTGAGGTTTGCCTCAGAGCAACAGATCCTGGCTAGTAGAAGAACTGCGCCCACTTGTGTCTTGGAGAGTAAACCTATGCTTCAAGTTCCAGGAAGTTTTCCAAGAAACTGAGCCCAGAAATATGGCTCCACAGCCACTCTGAACACCGGTGCCATGGATCCCAGTGCACCATGGCTGCCTGTGAGTCATGTCAGACCCAATTCCAACAGAGATTTCCTCAGCTAAAAGTCTCCCATCTGTAAGGAATACAAGAAAAAACATCCCCAAAACCCTGACCTTAATAATCTACACAGCTACTGGCACTGCTGCAGCCTAGAACACTAAGCACATGCAGTTATCACTAATGTTTGTCACAACTGAAAAACCTGCACAGAGGCTACACCACTGCACACAAATGAAACCAGAGCCACCACACCGTACCCAAGCAGCACCTTCAAGCCCATTTGCGGGTGAAAATCTTCCCCTATGAAAGCCAATTTGTAAAATTTGGAAGAGGCCACTACACCACCAGATGCAGAGATATCAATGCAAGGACACCAGAAATGTAAAAAGGCAAGAAAAAATGACACCACCAAATGAATGTGATAATTCTCCAGTAACTCAAAGAAATGGAAATGTATGAATTGCCTGAAAAAAGAATTCAAAATAATAATCTTGAGGAAACTCAACAAGACACAAGAGAATACACATAGACAATTTACTGAAATCGGAAAGACAATTTATGATTTGAATGAGAAATTCAACAAAGGGATAGATATCACTAAAAGAAAACCCAGAAATCTTGAAGCTGAAAAATTCAATCAATAAAATAAGAAATACAACTGAGAGCTTCAGAAGCAGACTGGGTGAAGCCAAAGGAAAAAAATCTATGAACTTGAAGACAGGCCTCTTGAAATGACTCAGTCAGGAAAAAAGAATGAAACAAATGTGAGGACATCCTATGGGACTTATGGGGCACCATTAAGTAAACAAGTATTTGCATTATGGGGGTTTCAGAGGAAAAGAGACAGAGAAATGGACAGAAGGCTTATTTAATAAAATAATTGCTGAAAGCTTCTTAAGTCTCAAGAGAGATATGGATATTTAGATCCATGAAGCTAAAAAGTTTCCAAATAGATTCAGCTCAAAGAGGTTCCCTCTGAAATACACAATAAGCAAACTGTCAAAAATCAAACACAAAGAGAATTTTAAAAGAAGCAAGTGTGGCTTCACAGCTGAATTCTATCAAACATTTGAAGAAAAGTTAATACCAATATTTCTTTAGCTCTTTCAAAAAATAGAGCTGGAGGGAATACTACCAAACACGTTTCATAAGGTGAGCATCAACTTGATACTGCAGCTGAAAAAAGACATAATTTAAAAAAGTAAGCATTACAGGCAAATTTCTCTAATGAGCAATAATAACACAAATCCTCATTAAAATATTAGCTGACCAAATCCACCTCATAAAAAAATTAGCTAACCAAATCCACTTCATAAAAAATATTAGCTGACCAAATCCACCTCATAAAAAAATAAATCCCAACTGGGATTTATTTCTGGCTTGCAAGTCTCATTTAACACACACAAATCAATCAGTGTGATACATCACATTAATGGGATGGAATATAGAAATCACATGATTATCTCAATTGACATAAAGAAAGCATTTGGCAAAGTCCAACATCTTTTCTTGATAAAAGCTCTCAACAGATTAGGTATAGAAGATTTCCTCAACATGATAAAGGTCACTTATGAAAAACCAACAGCTGACATTACAGCCAATGGGGGAAAACTGAAAGCTTTTCCACTAAGATATGGTACAACAAAAGAAGGCCCACACTCACCAATTCTATTCAACATAGTACTGAAAGTACTTGCAATAACAATCAGAGAAGAAAAAGAAATAAAAGGTAAATAAATTAGAAACCAAAAAGTAAAACTATCTGTATTTGCAGATCATATAATCCTATATTTAAAAAAAACTCCAAAGATTACACAAGAAAAACAGTTAGAACTAATAATGACTTCAATAATATTGCAGAGTACAAAATTGAAATACAAAAATCTGTAGCA
This sequence comes from Homo sapiens, assembly GCF_000001405.40. Taxonomy (NCBI): domain Eukaryota; kingdom Metazoa; phylum Chordata; class Mammalia; order Primates; family Hominidae; genus Homo; species Homo sapiens. The sequence goes on from NC_000023.11 coordinate 80,916,716, forward strand.
TTTTTATATACAAATAACAATCTAACAGAAAAAAGAAATAAAGAAAATAATTCCATTTATAATTGCATCAAAAATACCTAGGTTTAATCAAGGATGTAAAATAAATTGAAGCATACTTTGTGCTCACAGCTCAGAATGATTATTATTGTTAAAATGTCTATATTACCAAAAGTAATACACAGATTCAATGAAGTCCCTATCAAAATCCCAGTCATTCTTCACAAAAATTAAAAAAAAATTCTAAAATTTGTATAGAGCCATAAAAGACTCCAAATAGCCAAAACAATTCTGAGAAAGAAAAACAAAGTTGGAGGCATCATACCTCCTAATTTAAATTATACTGCAAACCTATAGCAATCAAAACAGTATGAAACTGGCATAAAAACAGACATATAGACTAGTGGAACAGGACAGAGGGCCCAGAAATAAACCCAAACATATGTGGTCAACTAATTTTTCACAAGGGCATCGAGAGGACACAATAAGGAAAGGATCATCTCTTCAATAAATGGTGCTGGGAAAACTGGATTTCCACATGCAAAAGTATAAAACTGCACCCTTATCTTGTGCCATACACAAAAATCAACTAAAAATAGATAAAAGACCTAAATATAAGATCAGAAACTGTAAAACTCCTAGAAGAAAACATAAGAAAAAAGCTCCTGGACATTGGCCTTGACAACGATTTTTGGATATTACACCAAAAGCTCAGGCCATTAAGGCAAAAATAAATGGGACTACATCAAACTAAAAACTTTGTGCACAGCAAGGGAAACAATAAACAAAATGAAACATCAGTCTATTGATTGAGAAAAAAAATTGCAAACCATTTATCTGATAAGGGTGTTACATAGCCAAAATTCATAAAGAACTCCAATAACTCAATGGTGGAAAAACAAATAACTTAATTTTTTTAATGAACAAAAGATCTGAACAGATATTTCTCCAAAGAAGACAGAAAAAATGGCCAACAGTTATATGAAAAAAGTGCTCAATGTCATTAATCATAAGGGAAATGAAATCAAAACCGTAATGATATATCGCCTCACACCTGTTAGGATGGCTATTATCAAAAAGTCAAAAGTTAACAAATGTTGGCAAGACTGTGGATAAAAGAGAACTCTTGTACACTGTTGGTGCAAATGTAGATTGGTACAGCCATCATGGAAAACACTATGAAGGTTCCTTAAAAAACTAAAAAGAGAACTATCATATGACCCATCAGTCTGTCATTTCACCACATACTCAAAGAAAATGAAACCACCACCTCATAAAAATATCTGCAATCTCATGTTTGTTGCAGCACTAGCCACAGTGGGCAAGATATGAAAGCAATCTAAATATTCATCATTTAACAAATGGATAAAGAAACTGCTGTTAAGTATATACAAAGGGATATTATTCAGCTCTAAAAAGGAACAAGATGTTTCCACAACACAGATGAGCCTGGAGGACATTATGCTAAGTGAAATAAGCTAAGCTAGACACAGAAAGAAAAATACTGCATAATCTCACTTACATGTGGAATCTTTTAAAAATTCAAATATATAGAGATAAAAAATAAAAAAAACCGGTTACTAGGGATGGTGGTGTTGAGGGCAGAGAATGGGTATGTAGGATGAACAAGTCTAGAGATCTAATGTACAACACAAGGACTATAAGTAACAAAATTATATTATAATATGGGATTTATGCCAAATGAGTAGATTTTATCTGCTCATGCAACATAAACAAAGTGGGTAACAATGTGAGATAATGGATATGTTAATTTGCTTCACTGTGTAACCTTCTTACTATCTATATATATCCCATAACAAACATATCGTATACCCTAAATATACACAACAAAATATATTCTTTAAAAAAAGAACAAAAGTCTTTAAAAGAGTTTTGTTTTTACTTGCCTACGTCACCATTGACTTCTCCATCCACTCCAGTAAGGACTTTTCCACATCACTCCATTAAAAAATCTCTTGTTAAAGTCACTAATAACCTACATGTTACCAAATTTGATGTTCAGTTCTTAGTCCTCATCTATGTGTTACCAAATGTGATGTTCGGTTCTTAGTCCTCATCTAATTCTACCCATCAGCAGCATTTGACACAGCTGATTACCCACTTCTGCTTTAAACACTTTGTTTACTTGGTTTGTTTTTTGAGACATCTAGCACATTATAAGTTCTTAATATTTAATGAATTAGTAAATAAATGATGGAAAATTATAACATAGTGTTTCTCAGACTTGAGAACTCAAGAACGCCTAAGAATATATCTTTAGATGTCTCAGTTTTTTAAAAATCACAATAAAATTTAAAAATTGTCAATTTATGTGATCTTTTGGTGCTAATTCTATCACTAAGAAACTGTAAACATGAATCCTGAAATCAATGAAATCATACAGCAGTTTCAATTACAAGAGGGTTATTCCAATGATTCAAAATATATTGTACTGACTCTATTCTAAATTATCAACAAAATAAAAATACAAACCTTACTCTCATAGAGGACTCTTAGACTTTGAAAATACATTGGTGGATCCCCAGAGATAACAGAAACTCTGCAGTTTGAGAAACAGTGGCACAGTGGTGATAACTCTTGAAGTCAGAAAACAATAATTTCATATTCCATCTCCACTAGTTATGTGACTTTCCAGTGATTTTACTTATCTAATGATCTGTTTTCTTATTTTAAAATGGAAAAATTATGGTCATTGTTATTTACCTCATATGGGAGTTGTATGGATTACATGAGCTAATTTATGTAGAGAGCTAAGCACCTAGTAAATGGTCAAATAATGTCATCTCATTCTCACTCTGCCTCTATCTATCATCTCTCTGTTTTAAAATTATCTCTGTGTAAATGAATAAAGTTTTATCTCATATCTTAACCTTTTTGGAATTACAGTCTGATGTAGTTTGGATATTTGTTCCTGCCCAAATCTCATGTTGAACTACAATCCCCAGTTATGAAGATGGGTCTTGTGAGAAATGTTTGGATCATGGCAATGAATCCCTCATGGCTTGCTGCTGTCTTCATGATAGTGAACTCTCATGAGATCTGGTCATTTTAAAGTATGTGGCACCTCATCCCCCTATTCTCTCTCCATTGCCCCTGTTGTCAGCATGTGACATACCTTATCCCCCTTCACCTCCTGCCATGATATTAAGCTTCCTGAGGCCTCCCTGGAAGCGAGAAGCTGAGCAAATGCCAGCACCATGCTTCCTGTAAAACCCGCATAACCATGAGCCAATTAAACCTCTTTTCTTTATAAATTACCCAGTCTCAGGTATTTCTTTATAGCAATGCAAGAATGGCTTTACACACAGTCCTTTTGAGAATCTGATGATTGTTAGACACCCTCTGTCCTAAAAATGCACATTTGCACAAAATCTGAATAATGTTTGCCATAATTCTGAATCCCGTAAAGTTGTTCGTAACTTCCTCCCAGGAAGATCTCAAATTTCTAATGTAACTAGAATATAAAATAAATATTAAATTGTGACCCACAGAAGCCAGTTTTTCCTGAATTTACACATCTAAATGATGACAGAAGTCTAGCACTCAGGTTGTCAACATCAGGGATGCCCACTAAGAAATGACAGAGACTTGGACATTGCAGATTGGGGTACAAAAGAAACTCAATTATCAAGGTCAGAGTGGCACCTGTAGCAGATATAAGAAATGTGGCCAGTAAGTTACTGTCATAAATTTCCTTCTCTTCACCCTTCATTTACTCAAGCCTGCCCCGGAACTTGGGACTGAACTAAGTTCAAGTTATCCACAGGTAAACGTTTAGTAGTTAACATTTGGAAAAGTGGGAAATTTGGAAAATCAGTCATGTTATTTCATTGTACTTTAAACAAAATTAGTGTTTTAATTTGTTCTATATTGGAAAATGTTTAAATTCTTCAAAATACAAAAAAAAATTAAGTATCTCATAATGTCACTGGCCAGGGATGCCCAATGTTAACATTTTCGTCTATTTTATTTCATTTTTGTTTGCAAACATAAATAATTTTACATCATGTGGTCTCTAAACTGAAATTGATGTTTACCTTTGAGTCATGAAGAACATGAATTATGGTTAATACCAATGGCATGGATATAACTTTTCTAAGGAATAAAAGATTATTTAAATCTGACTAGTGATTTTAAGTCAATTTAACTTAAGAAAAAATAGCCCTAGTAGTAATTAAATTGATTTTAATTTATTCCCACATTTTTCTGGGTAAAATTATTACATAGTAGCCATAGTCAGTACCCAAGAAATCATAAAGATCATCCCCTGGCAGTTACTAAGTTAAGACAGTGCAATTCTTACCTTCCAAGATCCTAATAATTGTGAATACTAATATATCAGCCTCCTTTGCATATTTTCATCATTAACATCACACCAGTTCTCTGATATTAATTTAGTCTAATAGAGGTCTTATGCAAAAACTTATTGAAGAAAAATGCAAAGTACAGATGAGCATAGAAGCTGAATTTTGTAGAACATATGAAATCAGTATCTTATCTGCAAATCAGCCTACATTTGTAATAGATAATGTTAATATTATTATTTCAATTGTTAGAATATATAATAGTAGTAAATCAAGTCAGATTAACAGGCTGGTTATTCAGTTAAATATTAACAGAAACAAAAATAAATGTCGACTGGAACTGCAGTGATATGTGCATTTAGGAGATTCAAATGCGCTAAATTAAAAGTAAAGAGGATTTAAAACAAGATATCTATAATGATTTCTGTGATTTACAAGAAGGTGAAAACATACATCAAAGTTAAACTTGATGATTTGGGAAAACAATCACACATAAAAATTTCTCTTTGGAAAATTATAATTTTGATGCGATTTTCATTCCTCGTAAGAAACAAGTGCAACATGGAAGGTTTAGTCAAACGACACATAGTTTTGTACAGGATAGTGCATGTGCAATATTATAGTTATCAATACTATATTGTACACTGTAGTTAACAATATGCTATTGTGCCCTTAAAGATTTCCTAAGAGGGCAGTAAATTTTATGTGAAGTTTTCATATCACAAAACAACTAACGATAATAATAATGAATAAAGAAATCAGAAGGCCGGGTGTGGTTGCTCATGACTGTAATTCCAGCACTTTAGGAGGCCAAGGCAGGCGGATCACAAAGTCAGGAGTTCGAGACCAGTCTGGCCAATATGGTGAAATCCCATTTCTACTAAAAATACAAAAAAAAAACAAATTAGCCGGGCATGGTGGCACTGGCCTATAGTCCCAGCTACTCTGGAGGCTGCGGCAGAAGAATCTCTTGAACCCAGGAGGTGGAGGTGGAAGTAAGCCGAGATGGTGCCACTGCATTCCAGCCTGGGCAACAGAGTGAAACTCCGTCTCAAAAAAAAAGAAAAAAAGAAAAAAGAAATCAGAAAAAAAAAAATTGGAAGTGATGAATACATTTATGGCATAGACTGTGATGATGGTTTCAGAGCTTATACGTATTCACAAACTTATCAAATTATATGCATTAAATATATACAACATTTTGTATCTCAATCATACCTCAATACATTTTTAAAGAAACAGGGTGTTAATGGCTTTGTAGAATGAGTAAGAGAGGAGTCATTGCCACAATTTTTTAGAAAAGTTTCAGGAGGATTTGCATCGGGACGTCTTTGTAAATCTGATAGAATTAGAATGTGAATCCATTTAATCCTGTTTTTTGTTTCGTTGAGGGAATTTTTACTATGGCTTCTATCTCACTACTTTTTATTTGTGTGTTTGGGATTTCTATTTCTTCCTGATTCAATCTTGGAGAGTTGTATATTTCCAGGAATTTATCCATTTCCTCTAAGTTTTCAAGTTGTGAATAGAGAGTTGCTCATAGTAGTCTAGAATGCTTTTTTTTATTTGTATGGTATCAGTTATAATGTCCTCTTTTTCATTTCGTTTTTAATACAAATAAATTTAAAAGTTTTTTATTTTTATTTTATTTTATTTTTATGGATACATAGTAGGTTTATATATTTATGGAATACATGAGATGTTTTGATACAGGCTTGCAATGTGAAATAAGCACATCATGGAGCATGGGGTATCTATCCCTTCAAGCATTTATTATTTGAGTTGCAAGCGATCCAATTGCACTCTTTGAGTTATTTTAAAATGTACAATTCAGGTATTATTGACTATATTTGTGCTATAAAATAGTAGGTTTTATTCATTCTTTCTAATTATTTTATACCCATTAACCATTCCCACACACCCCTCAACCCCATACTACTCTTCCTAGGCTCTGGTAACCTTTTTTCTACTCTCTTTGTCCATTACTTTAATTGATTTAATTTTTAGATCTGAAAAATAAGTGAAAACATGCAATGTTTGTCTTTCTCCACCTGGCTTATTGCACTTAACATAATGATCTCCCATTCCATCCGTGATGCTGTGAATGACTGAATCTTATATTTTTATGGCTGAATATTACTCCATTGTGTATATGTACCACAATTTCTTTATCCATTCATCAGTTGATAGAAACTTAGGTTGCTTCCAAATCTTAGCTATTGTAAACAGTGCTGCAACAAACATAGGAGTGCAGATATCTCTTTGATATACAGATTTCCTTTCTTCTGGGTATACACCCAGCAGTGAGATTGCTGGAATCATATGGTAGCTCAACTTTTAGTTTTTAGAAAAACCTCCAAACTCTTCTTCATAGTAGTTGTACTAATTTACACTCCCACTAACTATATACAATGCTTCCCTTTCCCCCATATCCTTGCCAGCATGTTATTGTCTGTCTATTAAATATAAGCCACTTTAACTGGAGTGAGGTGATTTCTCATTGTAGTTTTGATTTGTGTTTCTCTGATAATCAATGATGCTGAGCACCTTTTCATATACCTGTTTTCCAATATGTATGTCTTCTTATGATAAATGTCTATTCAAATTTTTGCCCATTTTTTATCAGATTATTAGACTTTTTCCTCTAGAGCTATTCGAGCTCTTTATATATTCTGGTTATAACTCCCTTGTCACATGGCTATCTTGTAAATATTTTCCCCATTCTGTACATTTACTTTTCACTTTGTTGGTTGTATTTTTTGCAGTGCAGAAGCTTTTTAACTTGATGTGATCCCATTTGTCTATTTTTGCTTCAATTGGTTGTGCTTGTGGGATATTGCTCAAGAAATCTTTGCCCAGTCCAATCTCCTTGAGAGCTTCCACAAAGTTTTTTGTAATAGTTTCATACTTTGAGGTCCTAGGTTTAAGTCTCTAATCCAGTTTCATTAGACTTTTGTATATTTTGATATATAGGAGTCTAGCTTTATTGTTCTGCATATGGATATCCAGTTTTTCCAGCACCATTTATCTTAGAGATTGTGTTTTACCCAATGTGTATTCTCAGCACTTTTGTCAAAAATGAGTTCACATTAGGTGTGTAGATTTGTTTCTGGGTTCTCTATTGTTTTCCGTTGCTCTATGTGTCTGTTTTTATGTAAGTACCATGTTGTTTTGGTTACTATAGCTCTGTAGTATGATTTAAAGTTAGGTAATATGATTTCTCCAGTTATGTTCTTTTTGCTCAGGATAGCTTAGGCTATTCTGGGTCTTTTGTTGTTTCATATAAATCTTAGAATAGTTTTCTTCTATTTCTGTGAAGAATGTCATTGGTATTTTGATAGGGATTGCATTGAATCTATATATTGCTTTGAAAAGTAAGGCCATTTAAACAATATTTATTCTTGCAATCCACATACATATTTTTTTTTCTTTTTTTTGGTGGTGTCCTCTTCATTTTCTTTCATCAGTGTTTTATAGTTTTTACTATAAAGATAATTTACTTCTTTGGTTAATTCTTTGATATTAAATTTTATTAGTAAATTTTATTGTAAATAGGATTAGTTTCTTGATTTTTTTTTCACACTGTTCACTGTTGGCATAATGAAATGTTAATGTTTTTTAATGTTGATTTTGTATCCTGCAACTTTATTAAATTTGTTTATCAGTTCCAATGATTTTCCTGTGGAGTCTTTAAGATTTTGCAAATATAAGATCACATTATCTAGATAATTTTAGTATTTAGTTTTCAATTTGGATGCCCTTTATATATCCCTCTTATTATGTTGAATAACAATGTTGACAGTGGGTATCCTTGTCATGTCCCAGAACTTAGAAAAAAAATTTATGTTTTTCCCCATTCAGTAGGATAGATGCTAGCTGTGGGTCTGCCATATTTCTCTTTTATTACGTTGAGTTATGTTCCTTCTATACCCAGTTTTTGAGGGCTTTTATCATGAAAAGATGTTGAATTTTATCAAATTTTATCAAATGCTTCTTCAGCATCAATTGAATGATTATACAGTTTCTATCTTTCATTTTGTTGATACGATGTATCCCATTCATTTATTTGCATATGTTAAACCATCCTTGCATTACAGGAATAAATCCCACTTGGTCTTTCTAATATGTTGTTGAATTCAGTTTGTTAGTATTTTGTTGAGAATTTTTGCATCAATATTATCAGAGATATTGGCCTGTAGTTTACTTTTCTTGATGTGTCTTTGTCTGGTTTTGGTATCAGGCTTCTGGCTTCGGTATCAGGTACTGGCTTCACAGAAACAGTTTGGTTTTCTTCTAGGGTTTTTATGGTTTTAGGTTTTACATTTAAGTCTTTAATCCATCTTGAGTTAATTTTTGTGTAACATGTAAGAAAGGAGTCCAGCTTCAGTTTTCTGCATATGGCTACCCAGTTTCTTGGATTTCTACAACAAAAACTATAAAACACTGCTCAAAGAAATCATAGATGACACAAACAAATGAAAACACATCTCATGCTCATGCATGGGTAGAATCCATATTGTGAAAATGACCATACTGCCAAAAGCAATCTACGAATTCAATTCAATTCCCATCAAAATACCATCACCATTCTTCACAGAACTAGAAAAAAAAATCTTAAAATTTTTATGGAACAAAAAGAGCCCAAATAGCCAAAGCAAGACTAAGCAAAAGAACAAGTCTGGAGGGACCACATTATCTGACTTCAAACTATACCAAGAGGCTATAGTCACTAAAACAGTATGGTACTGATATAAAAATAGACACATAGATAAATGCAATGGAAGAGAGAACCCAAAAATAAAGCCAAATACTTACAGCCAACTGAACTTTGACAAAGAAAACAAAAACTTAAAGTAGGGAAAGGACATCCTATTCAACAAATGGTGCTGGGATAATTGACAAGCCACATGTAGAGAATGAAACCGTATCCTCATCTCTCACTTTATACAAAAATCAAATCAAGATGGATCAAAGACTTAAATCTAAGACATGAAACCATACAAAATTCTAGGATATAACATCAAAAAAACTCTTCTAGACATTGGCTTAGGCAAAGAGTTTATGACCAAGAACCCAAAAGGAAATGCAACGAAAACAAAAATAAATAGATGGGACTTAATTAAACTAAAAAGCTTCTTCACAGCCAAAAAAATAATCAGTAGAGTAAACAGACAATCCACAGAGTGGGAGAAGATCTTTCCAAACTGCATCTGAAAAAAGACTAGTGTCCAGAATCTACAAGGAATTCAAATCAGCAAGAAAATATAAAACAATCCCATCAAAAGTTGGCTAAGGACATGAATAGACAATTCTCATAAAAAGATATACACAAGGTCAATAAACGTATGAAACAATGCTCAACATCACTAATTATCAGGGAAATGTAAATCAAAACCACAATGTTTTACCACCTTACTATTGCAAGAATGTTCATAATTAAAAAATAAAAAAAAAAGATGTTGACATAGAGATAGTGAAAAGATAACACTTTTACACTGCTGGTGGGAAGGTAAACTACTACCACTATGGAAAACAGTATGGGGATTTCTTAAGGAACTAAAAGTAGAACTACCATTTGATCCAGCAATCCCACTACTGGGTATTTATCCAGAGGAAAAGAAGTCTTTACATGAAAAAGACATTTGCACATGCATGTTTGTAACAGCACAATTCGCAATTGCAAAAATATGGACCCAGCCGAAACGCCCATAATTCGAGTGTATAAAGAAAATGTGGTATACATACACCATGCAATACTACCCAGCCATAAAAATGAATGAAATAATGGCATTCACAGCAACCTGAATGGAGTTGAAGGCCATTATGCTAAGTGAAGTAACTCAGGAATGTAAAACAAAACATAGTATGTTCTCACTTATAAGTGGGAGCTAAAGTTATGAGTACACAAAGTCCTGAGAATGATATAATGGACTTGGAGGACTCAAGGGAAAGGGTGGGAGGGGTTGTGGGATACAAGACTACACATTGGGTACAGTGTACACTGCTTGGGTAATGGATGCACCAAAATCTCACAAATCACCACTAAAGAACTTATCCATGTAACCAAACACCATCTGTTCCCCAAAAACTGACCACTTTGCTATTTTGTCTTATTTTTATTATTCCAGCAATTATATGAGATAATTTTTACTATCACACTTCACATATGAGGAAACAGAATAGACAGTTTAAATCTCTTGCCAGAAATTACATTGTTGATAAATAGTTGAACCTAGATATAAACTCAGATCTGTTTAAGTCTGAAATCTATACTCTTTCCAGTGTGTTTTTCTGCTTCTCATAATTTAGGGTTGTGAAATTATGACAAAAGTTACAGAAGAGGAAAAGAAAGTAGCTAGGTTCAAAAGTCACGAATTTACTAATAACAATATTATATATTGAGTAGTTACTATAAGACGGGCACTCTTTAATGCATATTTCGTTACACTTTTACAATCCCAAGAGAATGGTATTATTATTACTCTTTTATAGATGAAGGAACTGAGGGAGAAAACAGTTATGCACTGAACTTTAGGTTGTACAACTAGCGAACAGTAATAGCAGAGTTTTAAACCTAAGTTTGACAGACTCTAGAGACCACGCTCTGTAGAAAAAAAAAGTGCTTCACTGGAAAACAATCCATTTTCTAGACTCTAGAGAACACCTCTCTGAGTTTTCTGATTCTAAAAGCTATTTAATAACTCTGTAAACTGTAAACAAATGGAAACAATGAAAAATACTTCTTATTTATGGATTTGCAAATTCTGTCTATTCAGAAGTCCAAATAACTTCTCTTTTTTGGTCCCTCATCCTACTAGAAAAAACCAGTTTTGCTTCCATTTGAACATTTATTTTAATTTTTCTGATCTTTAAATTTATTTGTTCTTCAGAGTCTCTTTCGAACCAGTAGTCATATCTGTGTTGTTTCCTCATGGCTAAATGAAATATATAACATATTTGTATGACAGTCATGATTTTACTTTTTTTTTTTTGAAAATTGTCTCTTAACAGTTTTCCAGAGATGCCTAGTGAGTTCTTCTAATGGAACCAAGCAAACTTAACGAGAGAAGTGCACCTCATAAGCGGTTTAAGCCCAGACCAGTCTTTCTTGGCTTCTAAAGGTGACTCCAAATTGGCAATATAGCACTGCTGACTTTCTTTTTGTTGTTATTGTTGTTTTGAGACAGAGTCTCAATCTGTCACTCACGCTGGAGTGCAGTGGTGCGATCTCAGCTCACTGAAACCTCCACTTCCCAAGCTCAAGCGATTCTCCAGCCCCAGCCTCCAGAGTAACTGGGATTACAGGCATGAGCCACCAAAGCCTGGCTAATTTTTGTATTTTTTGTACAGATGGGGTTTCACCATGTTGCCCAAGCTGGTATTGTACCCCTGAGCTCAAAGCAATCCTTCTGCCATGGCCTCCCAATGTGCTGGGATTACAGGCGTGAGCCACCACTCCTCGCCAGCACTGCTGACTTCCTATTTATCTAGTTTTGATCTTCATCTCTACTAATTTTGTGTTTTGATTTCATTTGTTTTTGTTCATTTGTGGCTAATAAGTTATGTATCATAGCTAGGAGTAATTACTGGGAATTTGGTTTTATAGTCTGACCATACACGAGGAATTTGATTTTGTACCCTTATCAATGATATGTGTAAGTGGATTAAATGTTTATAATATCTATGTTGGGTGAGAGACAACAGGGAATCGTATTTGTTAGTTTTTTTTTTTTCAATTTGTTGTCTGTCTATTTTAATTAAGTTCAAATAATTAGGAATTTTTTTTGTCTAACAGGAAGGGGACTAGCTCTTTGATATCTAGACGCGATTTTTTATGTTTCTGTGTTTATTCTTAATTAATATCTGAAATTTTTGTTTATTTATTTGTTTTCTTGAGACAGGGTTTTTATCTGTTTCCCAGGCTGGAGTGGTGTGGCACAATCACGGCTCACTGCAGCCTCGATCTCCTGGGCTCAAGCAATCCTCAGCCACCTAAGTAGCTGAGACTACAGGTGTGCACCACCAAGCCAGGCTAATTTAAAATTTTTTTGTAGAGTTGTGGTCTCACTATGTTGCTCAGGCTGTTCTCAAACTTCTGAGCTCAAGAGATTCTCTTGCCTTGGTCTCCCACAGTGCTAGAATTATAGGTGTGAGTCACTGCTTTTGGCCACATGGCTGAAATTTTGGAATAGAAGCTGTAAACCCCTCTGTGTCTGCATATTTATGTGCCTGTAATTTATAAAGATCTTGACCTCCCATGTGAGCGTGTGATTTTCTACCTTCAGATGTTGTTAATAAATTATTATATTATTTCTAACACAATAAATAAAAGCAAGTAATGTTTACCTCAAAAAATAAATTATATCATAAAGTTACTTAAGTTAAAAGGACCTCCCTGCCTCCGCGCTGCAGCCCCTGCCGTAGCCGCCCCTGAGCCCGCCACCACCGCCTCTGAGCAGAAGATGGCTGTGCCACCTACGTATGCTGATCTTGGCAAATCTGCCAGGGATGTCTTCACTGAGGGCTATGGATTTGGCTTAATAAAGCTTGATTTGAAAACAAAATATGAGAATGGATTGGAATTTACAAGCTCAAGCTCAGCCAACACAGACCACCAAAGTGACGGGCAGTCTGGAAACCAAGTACAGATGGACTGAGTACGGCCTCACGTTTACAGAGAAATGGAACACCGACAATACACTAGGCACCAAGATTACTGTGGAAGATCAGCTTGCACGTGGACTGAAGCTGACCTTCGATTCATCCTTTTCACCTAACACTGGGAAAAAAAATGCTAAAATCAAGACAGGGTACAAGCGGGAGCACATTAACCTGGGCTGCGACATGGTTTTCGACATTGTTGGGCCTTCCATCCGGGGTGCTCTGGTGCTGGGTTACGAGGGCTGGCTGGCCGGCTATCAGATGAATTTTGAGACTACAAAATCCCGAGTGACCCAGAGCAACTTTGCAATTGGCTACAAGACTGATGAATTCCAGCTTCACACAAATGTGAATGACGGGACAGAGTTTGGCGGCTCCATTTACCAGAAAGTGAACAAGAAGTTGGAGACCACCGTCAATCTTGCCTGGACAGCAGGAAACAGTAACACGCGCTTCGGAATAGCAGCCAAGTATCAGATTGACCCTGACGCCTGCTTCTCGGCTAAAGTGAACAACTCCAGCCTGATAGGTTTAGGATACACTCAGACTCTAAAGCCAGGTATCAAACTGACACTGTCAGCTCTTCTGGATGGCAAGAACGTCAATGCTGGTGGCCACAAGCTTGGTCTAGGACTGGAATTTCAAGCATAAATGAATACTGTACAATTGTTTAATTTTAAACTATTTTGCAGCATAGCTACCTTCAGAATTTAGTGTTATCTTTTAATGTTGTATGTCTGGGATGCAAGTATTGCTAAATATGTTACCCCTCCAGGTTAAAGATGATTCAGCTTTAAGATGTTACCCTTCCAGAGGTACAGAAGAAACGCATTTCCAAAAAAGGTTCTTTCAGTGGTAGACTCGGGGAGAACTTGGTGGCCCCTTTGAGGTGCCAGGTTTCTTTTTCATCTAGAGATGGCTGCGAGTGGAAGCTGATAATATGTAGGCACTTTGTAAATTCATATTGAGTAAATGAATGAAATTGTGATTTCCTGAGAATCGAACCATGGTTTCCTAACCCTAATTGATGAGAGGCTCGCTGCTTGATGGTGTGTACAAGCTCACCTGAATGGGACTTTTTTAGACAGATCTTCATGACCTGTTCCCACCCCAGTTCATCATCATCTCTTTTACACCAAAAGGTCTGCAGGGTGTGGTCACTCTTTCTTTTGTGCCATTTTGGGGTGGAGAAGGTAGATGTGATGAAACCAATAATTCAGGACTTATTCCTTCTTGTGTTGTGTTTTTTTTTGCCCTTGCACCAGAGTATGAAATAGCTTCCAGGAGCTCCAGCTATAAGCTTGGGAGTGTCTGTGTGATTGTAATCACATGGTGACAGCACTCAGAATCTAAATTGGACTTCTGCTGTATTCTCACCACTCAATTTGTTTTTTAGCAATTTAATGGCTACATTTTAGAGTCTTCCATTTTTTGTGGAATTAGATCCTCCCCTTCAAATGCTGTAATTAACATCACTTAAGAAAACTTGAATAAAATGTTGAAACCTCAAAAAAAATAAATAAAAGGACCTCTATTCTGTATGGCTTACACAGATAAATAAATGCTTATATAAATTAAATATTTCTAAAATTCCAAGAAATTAAGGAAACTGAGTATTTAAGATTTTCAGTGTGCTAAAAATGCATGCTTGAAGAATCCAACTTAGAAACATTTTACAAATCATAGCTTCTGCACCATTGAATCATGCTTGACAGGTGGAGAGCTCCAATGTGGTGGTCCCTACAGCTGTGCACCAGCCTGCATGTTCCCTCCCTATACTGCAGGTTCCCCTTAACCCACAGCAACTCCCCACATCAGTTTGCTGGTGTGTGTCAGCACAGGCGGGTTTTGCTTTACTTGCCCTGCCAGCACGTGGGAGTGCCATAGCCCCATGACCCCTGCAGACCACCATTGTAGATGGAGCCTTGGTGGACACAGAGCCAGCAAGCTCCACCCCACCAGTTCCCCAATCTTGTGGCTAACGCTGCCCAGAGGACAGGGTCTCCTCCCACACCCTGAGCCATCACTCCTACTTGCAGGGCACAGAGAAGGCACCCAGACCTGCGCTGGCCAGCAGCCTGCCCCAAACCAACATCACCTCCAGTGCAACAGCACACACAGTCTCCCTCAGAGGCCCCCCACTACTCCTTAACTGCCTTCCCTTTGTCACTGTGATGAACTCCTTCAGGGAGGCTGGCACCCCTGCATCCACTAACATTGGGCTATGGCTCCTGCACCTCAGTCCTCCAGCTGCAGTAGCCTCCAAACCTTGAGTAGTCAGAGAACAATGCCGGGGCCTAATACAAGTCCCCTAGAGTTAGAGCATGCAGTCCAGGAGTTGGAAGCTGAATGTTGGCCCCATAAGATCGTCCAGAAATGAAGCCAGTTGGCTGAATCCACCTTATACAACAATCAAACTCTGAAGGTCATCAAATAGGATAAAATTTTAAAGACCATCTAAAGGTCAACAATCTCAAAAATTGAAGGTAAATAAGTCTACAAAGATGAGAAAGAGTCAGTGCAAGAATGCTGAAAACTCAAAAAGTCAGAATACTTTCTTTATTTCAAATGACCGCATCACCTCTCTGCCAAGGGTTTGGAACCTGGCTGAGTCTGAGATGACTGAAATGACAGAAGTAGAATTCAGAATAAGTGATAAGAAAGGAGTTCACTGAATTACAGGAGTGCATGGTAACCCAATGCAAGAAAACTAAAAATCATGGTAAAACATGGCAGGAGTTGACATACAAAATAGCCAGTATAGAGAAGAACATAACCAACATGATAGAGCTGAAGAACACACTACAGAACTTCATAATGCAATCACAAGTATTATTGCAGAATAAACCAAGTGTAGGAAAGAATCTCAGAGCTTGAACACTGTCTTTTTAAAATAAGACAAGCAGACAAGAATAGAGAAGGAAAGAGAGAATTCAAATAAACACAATTAGAAATGGCAAGAGCGATATTACCACTGACCCCACAGAAATACAAACTACTATTGAAGAATATTATGAATACCCATATGCACATAAACTAGAAAATCTAGACGCAATGGATAAATTCCTGGACACATAAACCTTCCTAAGACTAAACCAGAAATAAATTGAATCCTTGGACACACCAATAATGAGCTTTGAAATTAAGGCACTAATAAGTAGCCTACCAATGACAGCAAAAAAGAGGTCAGGACGAGACAGATTCACGGCTAAATTTTACCAGATGTTCAAAGAAGAGCTGGTACCATTCCTACTGAAACTATTCCAAAAAATTGAGGAGGAGGGACTTTTCCCTAACTCATTCTATGAGACCAGTATCATCTTGATACCAAAACCTGGCAGAGATACAACAAAAAAAGAAAACTTCGGGCCAATATATTTGATAAACATTGATGCAAAAATTCTCAAAAGACTATTTGCAAACCACATGCAACAGCACATCAAAAAGCTAATTCACCTTGGTCAAGTAGGCTTCATCCCTGGGATGCAAAATTGATTTAACACGTGCAAATCAATAAATGTGATTCATCACATAAACAGAACTAAAGACAAAACCACATAATTATCCCAGTAGATTCAGAAAAGGCTTTTAATAAAATTCAACACCTCTTTATGTTAAAAACTCTCAATAAACTATTAAAGGAACATACCACAAAATAATAAGAGCCATATATGACAAATCCACAGCCAACATCACACTGAATGGGCAAAAGCTGGAAGCATTCCTCTTGAAAACCTGCACAAGACAAGGATGTCCTGTCTCACCACTCCTTCAACATAGTATTGGAAGTTATGGCTAGGGCAATCAGACAGAAAAAAACACATCCAAACAGGAAGAGATGAATTCAAACTATCTCTGTTTGCAGATGACATGATCCTATATCTAAGAAACCTCATAGTCTTGTCCCAAAAGCTCCTCCAGCTGATAAACAACTTCAGCAAAGTTGTCCGATACAAAATTAATGTACAAAAATCACTAGCATCCTTATATGCCAACAACAGCGAAACTGAGAGCCAAATCAGGAATGAATTCCCATTCATAATTGTCACACACACACACAAAAATTACCTAGTAATACAGCTAACTAAGGAAGTGAAAGATTTCTACAAGGAGAACTACAAACCACTGCTCCAAGAAATCAGAGATGACACAAACAGATGGTAAAACATTCCATGCTCATGGATAGGGAGAATCAATATTATTAAAATGTCCATACTGCCCAAATAAATTTATAGATTCAATGCTATGTCTATGAATCTACCAATGACATTCTTCACAGAACTAGAAAAGACTATTTTAAAATTCATATAGAAACAAAAAAAGCCCTAATACCCAAGGCAATCTTAGCAAAAAGAACAAAGCTGGAGGCATCAATTTACCTGACTTCAAACTACACTACAGAGCTACAGTAACTAAAACAGCATGGTAGTGGTAAAAAACCAGACACATAAATCAATAGAACAGAAAAGAGAACACAGATATAAGAACACACACATACAATCATAAGATCTTTGACAAACCTGAAAAAGACAAGTAACGGGGACAGGATTCCTATTCAATAAATGGTGCAGCAATAAATGGCTAGTCATAAGCAGAAGACTAAAACTGCATACAAATCCAAGTTTACATAATTTAGCTAATACTTTGGCAAACCAGAGCAGTTTAATAATTTTGCCTGTATAAAATAGCCATGTCTTTTTCTCTGATTAATCAGTGTTAAGTATAATACAAGTATACATTTCCATTCTACATGGGTATGTTTTTCCTAGACTTATGCAGGTTTACTGATCAATTAAACTAGCATTACTTAATGTTTAAGATTATGACATATGTAAATTTGCATTTAACCAAATTGAATCATTATTCTGATGAACTATGTTTCAATAGTATTTACGCTTTGCAGTATGTCAGCTTCCAGATAATTTTCTAGATCTTTAGGTAACTTAAAACCTCGGACTCATACTGAATTGAGTTAATCAATGGATTCACTAGATGTCTACATCATTTCTAAATAAAATAAAACATACCCCATTAACGTTTTTATTTTTTATTTTATAGAGATGGGTTCTCACTATGGTGCCAAGGCTGGTCTCAAATTCCTGGGCTCAAGTGCTCCTCCCACCTTGGCCTCCCAAGGTGCTGGGATCACAAG
Organism: Homo sapiens; assembly: GCF_000001405.40. Lineage (NCBI taxonomy): Eukaryota > Metazoa > Chordata > Mammalia > Primates > Hominidae > Homo > Homo sapiens. The sequence goes on from NC_000023.11 coordinate 80,934,851, forward strand.
TGTGAGCCATTGCACATGACCGCAAAACTGTATCTTTAGGTCATGATAATATGCTCATTCTTGCCACTTTGAAATGCTGTATATGAGATGTGGGTGGCTTTAAAATGTGTGTTATGCATATCCATGAACTCTCCTACTCTGCTATATGCTGGTGTGTGGCAGGCCATTCTCGGTTACCCACCCCTCAGTTTTCTTTGTGAAATAGAAGTTACTTTGATTAAAAATGATAGGTAATATAAATGTTTGAGACTATATTTAAGAACAATAGTTTTAGAGAAATATGATTGTGTACATGCTTCTGTTTCTCATGGACACTATTAATATGATCCCAAAGCAGCAGTTCTCAGAGGATTTTTGTTTTGTTTTGTTTTGTTTTTGTTTCTAAACTTCTTTATACTCTTTGTGATGGTTAATACTGAGTATCAACTTGATTGAATTGAAGAATGTATTGTTCCTGGGTGTGTCTGGGAGGGTGTTGCCAAAGTAGATTAACATTTGAGTTAGTGACTTCAAGAAGCAAACCCACCCTCAATCCAGGTGGGCACTATCTAATCAGCTGCCAGCACGGCTAGGATAAAAGTAGGCAGAAGAATGTGGAAGGACTAGACTGGCTTGAGTCTTCTGTCCTCCATCTTTCTCCCTTGCTGGATACTTCCTGTCCTTGAACATCAGACTCCAAATTCTTCAGCTTTTGTACTCTTGGACTGACATCAGTGATTTGCCAGGGCCTTCTCTGGCCTTCAGCCACAGACTGAAGGCCACACTACTGGCTTCCTTAATTTTGAGGTTTTGTGACTTGGACTGGTTTCCTGGTTCCTCAGCTTGCAGACACCCCATTGTGGGACTTCACCTTGTAATCATGAGTCAATTCTCCTAATCAACTTCCTTTTTCATATTCGTCTATCCTATTAGTTCTGTCTCTTTAAAGAACCCTGACTAATACACTCTTTGAATGTATTGAGGTCTCCAAGGAACATTGTTTTATGAGTTATTTCTTCAAATATTTACCATATTAAAAATTGAAACTAAGAAAAAATTTAATTGCTTCTTTATTGATTCATTTGAAGTTATCAATGATGAATATATTGCATGTTAATAACATCTTAGTAATATTATGAAATTAGTCCTGACCTCACAGACCTCCAAAATAAAGTACAGTGTCAGTCTGTTCCAGAAAATGAAAGAGCATAATGAAAGTGCAAACTTGGAAGGCAATTTTTGTTTGACTTGTTTTATAATGTCTGAGTCTGAAAAGCTATTACATGTTTTAATATCTCAGCAAAGTTTTCTCAATTTTGATAGGCTTCATTTCCTTGGTTTGCTATTTATTGTCTTTAACCTAGATAGGAAAGATTTTGCATCTTACTAAAATAATTCTCTGTGCTTTATGTTGATTTGATAAATTTTTATAAGACATACTATTTTATTTTAACTGTTTTTAAGTGTACAATAGGTAGTCATATTTTTTAACCATATAATTTTTGGGGGTATCCATTCCCTCAAGCATTTATTCTTAGTGTTACAAATAATCCATTTACACTCTCTATTTTAAAATGTACAATTATGTTGTTATTGACTATATTGTGCTTGCTTCGGCAGCACGTATACTAACATTGGAATGCTACAGAGAAAATTAGTGTGGTCCCTATGCAAGGATTACATGCAACTTCATGAAGTGTTGAATATTAGTAATTTAAAATCTTTTTAAAAAGTTATTACGGGGGTGGAGCCAAGATGGCCGAATAGGAACAGCTCCAGTGTACAGCTCCCAGTGTGAGCGATGCAGAAGATGGGTGATTTCTGCATTTCCAACTGAGGTACTGGGTTCATCTCACAGGGGAGAGCCAGACAGTGGGTGCAGGACAGTGGGTGCAGTGCACCGTGTGTGAGCTGAAGCAGGGTGAGGCATTGCCTCACCCAGGAAGCACAAGGGGTCAGGGAATTCCCTTTCCTAGTCAAAGAAAGGGGTGACAGACGGCACCTAGACAACCGGGTCACTCCCACCCTAATACTACGCTTTTCCAACAGGCTTCACAAACGGCCCACCAGGAGATTATATCCTGCGCATGGCTTGGAGGGTCCTACGCCCACAGAGCCTCGCTCATTGCTAGCACAGCAGTCTGAGATCAAACTGCAAGGTGGCAGTGAGGCTGGGGGAGGGACGCCTGCCATTGCTCAGGCTTCAGTAGGTAAACAAAGCAGAAGGGAGGCTCGAACTGGGTGGAGCCCACCACAGCTCAAGGTGGCCTGCCTGCCTCTGTAGGCTCCACCTCTGGGGGCAGGGCACAGACAAACAAAAGACAGCAATAACCTCTGCAGACTTAAATGTCCCTGTCTGACAGCTTTGAAGAGAGTAGTGGTTCTCCCAGCAGGCAGCTTGAGATCTGAGAACGGGCAGACTGCCTCCTTAAGTGGATCCCTGACTCCTGAGTAGCCTAACTGGGAGGCACCCCCTAGTAGAGGCAGATTGACAACTCACACGGCCGGGTACTCCTCTGAGACAAAACTACCAGAGGAAGGATCAGGCAGCAGCATTTGAGGTTCCCCAATATCCGCTGTTCTGCAGCCACCGCTGCTGATACCCAGGCAAACAGGGTCTGGAGTGGACCTCCAGTAAACTCCAACAGACCTGCAGCTGAGGGTCCTGATGGTGAGAAGGAAAACTAACAAAAAGAAAGGACATCCACACCAAAAACCCATCTGTACGTCACCATCATCAAAGACCAAAAGTAGATAAAACAACAAAGATGGGGAAAAAACAGAGCAGAAAAACTGGAAACTCTAAAAAGCAGAGTGCCTCTCCTCCTCCAAAGGAACACAGCTCCTCACCAGCAACAGAACAAAGCTGGACAGAGAATGACTTTGATGAGCTGAGAGAGGAAGTCTTCAGAAGATCAAACTACTCCAAGCTAAAGGAGGAAGTTTGAACCAATGGCAAAGAAGTTAAGAACTTTGAAAAAAAATTAGACGAATGGATAACTAGAATAATCAATGCAGAGAAGTCCTTAAAGGACTTGATGGAGCTGAAAACCATGGCACAAGAACTACGTGACGAATGCACAAGCCTCAGTAGCCGATGTAATCAACTGGAAGAAAGGGTATCAGCGATGGAAGACGAAATGAATGAAATGAAGTGTGAAGAGAAGTTTAGAGAAGAAAGAATAAAAAGAAATGAACAAAGCCTTCAAGAAATATGGGACTATGTGAAAAGACCAAATCTACATCTGATTGGTGTACTTGAAAGTGACGGGGAGAATGGAACCAAGTTAGAAAACACTCTGCAGGATATTATCCAGGAGAACTTCCCCAATCTAGCAAGGCATTCAAATTCAGGAAAAACAGAGAGTGCCACAAAGATAGTGCTCAAGAAGAGCAACTCCAAGACACATAATTGTCAGATTCACCAAAGTTGAAGTGAAGGAAAAAATGTCAAGGGCAGCCAGAGAGAAAGGTTGGGTTACCCTCAAAGGGAAGCCCATCAGACTAACAGCTGATTTCTTGGCAGAAACTCTACAAGCCAGAAGAGAGTAGGGGCCATTATTCAACATTCTTAAAGAAAAGAATTTTCAACCCAGAATTTCACATCCAGCCAAACTAAGCTTCATAAGTGAAGAAGAAATAAAATATTTTACATACAAGCAAATGCTGAGAGATTTTGTCACCACCAGGCCTGCCCTACAAGAGCTCCTGAAGGAAGCACTAAACTTGGAAAGGAACAACCGGTACCAGCCACTGCAAAAACCTGCCAAATTGTAAAGACCATCAAGGCTAGGAAGAAACTGCATCAACTAACGAGCAAAATCACCAGCTAACATCATAATGACAGGATCAAATTCATACATAACAATACTAACCTTAAAGGTAAATGGGGTAAATGCTCCAATTAAAAGACACAGACTGGCAAATTGGATAAAGAATCAAGACCCATCAGTGTGCTGTATTCAGGAAACCTATCTCACATGCAGAGACACACATAGGCTCAAAATAAAGGGATGGAGGAAGATCTACCAAGCAAATGGAAAACAAAAAAAGGCAGGGGTTACAATCTTAGTCTCTGATAAAATAGACTTCAAAGCAATAAAGATCAAAAGAGACAAAGAAGGCCATCACATAATGGTAAAGGGATCAATTCAACAAGAAGAACTAACTATCCTAAATATATATGCACCCTATACAGGAGCACCCAGATTCATAAAGCAAGTCCTGAGTGACCTACAAAGAGACTTAGACTGCCACACAATAATAATGGGAGACTTTAACACCCCACTGTCAACATTAGTCAGATCAATGAGACAGAAAGTTAACAAGGATATCCAGGAATTGAACTCAGCTCTGCACCAAGCAGACCTGATAGACATCTACAGAACTCTCCACCTCAAATCAACAGAATATACATCCTTTTCAGCACCACACCACACCTATTCCAAAATTGACCACACAGTTGGAAGTAAAGTACTCCTCAGCAAATGTAAAGGAACAGAAATTATGACAAACTGTCTCTCAGACCACAGTGCAATCAAACTAGAACTCAGGATTAAGAAACTCACTCAAAACCACTCAACTACATGGAAACTGAACACCCTGCTCCTGAATGACTACTGGGTACACAATGAAATGAAGGCAGAAATAAAGATGTTCTTTGAAACCAATGAGAACAAAGACACAACATACCAGAATCTCTGGGACACATTCAAAGGAGTGTGTAGAGGGAAATTTATAGCACTAAATGCCCACAAGAGAAAGCAGGAAAGATCCAAAATTGACACCCTAACATCACAATTAAAAGAACTAGAAAAGCAAGAGCAAACACATTCAAAAGCTAGCAGAAGGCAAGAAATAACTAAGATCATAGCAGAACTGAAGGAAATACAGAGACAAAAAAACCCTTCAAAAAATCAATGAATCCAGGAGCTGGTTTTTTGAAAAGATCAACAAAATTGGTAGACCACTAGCAAGACTAATAAAGAAGAAAAGAGAGAAGAATGAAATAGATGCAATAAAAAATGACAAAGGGGATATCACCACTGATCCCACAGAAATACAAACTACCATCAGAGAATACTATAAACACCTCTATGCAAATAAACTAGAAAATCTAGAAGAAATGGATAAATTCCTTGACACATATACTCTCCCAAGACTAAACCAGGAAGATGTTGAATCTCTGAATGGACCAATAACATGCTCAGAAATTGAGGCAATTATTAATAGTTTACCAACCAAAAAAAGTCCAGGACCGGATGGATTCACAGCCGAATTCTACCAGAGATACAAGGAGGAGCTGGTACGATTCCATCTGAAACTATTCCAATCAATAGAAAAAGAGCGATTCCTCCCTAACTCATTTTATGAGGCCAGCATCATCCTGATACCAAAGCCGGGCAGAGACACAACCAAAAAAGAGAATTTTAGACCAATATCCTTGATGAACATTGATGCAAAAATCCTCAATAAAATACTGGCAAACCGAATCCAGCAACACATCAAAAAGCTTATCCACCATGATCAAGTGGGCTTCATCCCTTGGATGCAAGGCTGATTCAACATACACAAATCAGTAAATGTAATCTGGCATATAAACAGAACCAAAGACAAAAACCACATGATTATCTCAATAGATGCAGAAAAGGCCTTTGACAATTCAACAATGCTTCATGCTAAAAACTCTCAATAAATTAGGTGTTGATGGGATGTATCTCAAAATAATAAGGCAATCTACGACAAACCCACAGCCAATATCATACTGAATGGACAAAAACTGGAAGCATTCCCTTTGAAAACTGGCACAAGACAGGGATGTCCTCTCTCACCGTTCCTATTCAATATACTGTTGGAAGTTCTGGCCAGGACAATCAGGCAGGAGAAGGAAATAAAGGGCATTGAATTAGGAAAAGAGGGAGTCAAATTGTCCCTGTTTGCAGATGACATGATTTTATATCTAGAAAACCCCATTGTCTCAGCCCAAAATCTCCTTAAACTGATAAGTAACTTCAGCAGTCTCAGGATATAAAATCAATGTACAAAAATCACAAGCATTCTTATACACCAATAACAGACAAACAGAGAGCCAAATCATGAGTGAACTCCCATTCACAATTCCTTCAAAGAGAATAAAATACCTAGGAATCCAACTTACAAGGGATGTGAAGGACCTCTTCAAGGAGAACTACAAACCACTGCTCAATGAAATAAGAGGATACAAACAAATGGAAGAACATTCCATGCTCATGGGTAGGAAGAATCAATATCGTGAAAATGGCCATACTGCCCAAGGTAATTTATAGCTTCAATGCCATGCCCATCAAGCTACCAATGACTTTCTTCACAGAATTGGAAAAAACTACTTTAAAGTTCATATGGAACCAAAAAAGAGCCTGCATTGCCAAATCAATCCTAAGCCAAAAGAACAAAGCTGGACGCATCACACTTCAAACTATACTACAAGGCTACAGTAACCAAAACAGCATGATACTGGTACCAAAACAGACATATAGACCAATAGAACAGAACAGAGCCCTCAGAAATAATGCCGCATATCTACAACTATCTGATCTTTGACAAACCTGACAAAAAGTAGAAATGTGGAAAGGATTCCCTATTTAATAAATGGTGCTGGGAAAACTGGCTAGCCATATGTAGAAAGCTGAATCTGGATCTCTTCCTTACACCTTCTACAAAAATTAATTCAAGATGGATTAAAGACTTAAACGTTAGACCTAAAACCATAAAAACCCTAGAAGAAAACCTAGGCAATATCATTCAGGACATAGGCATGGGCAAGGACTTCATGTCTAAAACACCAAAAGCAATGGCAACCAAAGCCCAAATTGACAAATGGGATCTAATGAAACTAAAGAGCTTCTGCACAGCAAAAGAAACTACCATCAGAGTGAACAGGCAACCTACAGAATGGGAGAAAGTTTTTGCAACCTACTCATCTGACAAAGGGCTAATACCCAGAATCTACAAAGAACTCAAACAAATTTACAAGAAAAAAACAAACAACCATATCAAAAAGTGGGCGAAGGATATGAACAGACACTTCTCAAAAGAAGACATTTATGCAGCCAACAGACACATGAAAAAATGCTCATCATCACTGGCCATCAGAGAAATGCAAAACAAAACCACAGTGAGATACCATCTCACACCAGTTAGAATGGCGATCATTAAAAAGTCAGGAAACGACAGGTGCTGGAGAGGATGTGGAGAAATAGGAACACTTTTACACTGTTGGTGGGAATGTAAATTAGTTCAACCATTGTGGAAGACAGTGTGGCGGTTCCTCAGGGATGTAGAACTAGAAATACCATTTGACCCAGCCATCCCATTACTAGGTATATACCCAAAGGATTATAAATCATGCTGCTATAAAGACACATGAACATGTATGTTTATTGCAACACTATTCACAATAGCAAAGACTTGGAACCAACCCAAATGTCCATCAATGATAGACTGGATTAAGAAAATGTGGCACATATACACCCTGGAATACTATGCAGCCATAAGAACTGATGAATTCATGTCCTTTGTAGGGACATGGATGAAGCTGGAAAGCATCAGTCTCAGCAAACTATCGCAAAGACAGAAAACCAAACACTGCATGTTCTCACTCATACGTGGGAATTGAACAATGAGAACACTTGGACACATAGCAGGGAACATCACACACTGGGGCCTGTTGTAGGGTGGGGGGATGGGGGAGGATAGGATTAGGAGAAATACCTAATGTAAATGACAAGTTAATGGGTGCAGCAAACCAACATGGCACATGTATACATATGTGACAAACCTGCACATTGTGCACATGCATTCTAGAACTTAAAGTATAATAAAAAAATTCATCACTCCTTAAAATTACCAAATATCCAATGTTGAATTTCCAGTTATCTCATAAATGCTGTAATATTCTTTCAGCAACTGTTTGTTTGAATCAGGGTCCAAATAAGGTCCCAACATTAGGACTGGTTGGTAAACTCTTGTCTGTTTTAATTTGTAAATTTCTTCTCCAGTATTCCCTTTTGTAATGTATTTATTGAAGAAACTAGGTCATTTGTCTTATAAAATTTTCTAAGGTCTGAATTTTGATGATTGCATCTCAGAGGTACAATTTACATTTCACTGCCCCCTGCATTTCCCATAAATAGGTAGTTGGATCCAAAGTCTTCATCAGATTCATGTATGACTTTTCTTAGGAGGGGTAGGAATACTTCATTGGGTGGCGTAGCATTCTTCCATCAGGGGCCTATTATATGTGTGGCTGTTTCTTTTTGAGATGTTTGTAGCAGTTGATGTAAAATGTGTAGATGCATTAATTAATTTGGGTTGCAAAATGGTAATATCCTAATTGTAACATTCCTTCTTAATTTATTATCTGGACTACTTCTATAAAGGGAAACTTCACCTGATCAACTATTTGGTTACCATAAGATACATATTATATTCAGGAGAGGCAAGGCAAGCGTTGAGTTTTTTCCTTTACCAAGTTTCAAAATGGTGTTGTTCACTAGCAGCTTCCATTGGTGACCAATTTATTTACTTAAACCTTCATTATGATTAGAATGATTGATATGTTTCAGTCCCTGACAGTTATTATCTTTATGGGTCCTCAAATTGTTCCTCTTTGACCTGTAGTAATCTGTTCAAGTTGGCTTCTGAGTTTTTTGACATGGCCCCCATTAGTCTAATAATAGCTTCTTTATTTCTGATATGACAAGGTGTTCCAGGCTCATCTTGTACATTTTCTGCCCCAAAACTTGAATTTCAGCAAGTAACACTGCTTCATTTTAGAGGGAATGGTTTTTTTCAAGTACCCTACAATCAGGGTACTAGGAGTGCTCTTTGTTTCTGGGATGATCATTATTTTTAGGTATTTTCAGTAGACAGAGTTAAAGTTAAGAACATTTTTAAAAGATGAAATACTTTATGACACTTAAAATTCAAATCCCAGAACACAAGTTTTAAATTAACCTCTTTGATCTTACTTCTGTATCTGTTTTCTCCAATGTTGTGAATCTCAATTCTCAGTCACCAGGAATGACATAAATAAGAGCTGTGTGAATTTCTTTTTCTGTGACTGCATTGTTCATTTCTCTATCCCATTTATAAAGGGTGGTTATTCTTCCCATTGTTAAAAGCACTTTTATATGTTAGACATGTTAACCTTTTGTTGAAAATTGTTTTTCCAATTTTGCCATTGTTTTTTCTTTGCTTATGGAGCGTCTTTTGTCATGCAAATTAAAAATATATAATAAAATTTATCTATCTTTTCTCTTTTTGCTTTTAGATTTCAAGTTATAGTTAGGAAAGTTTTTCCTATTCCTAAGTTATAATGTAATTTACCCATATATCTTTTCGTATATGTATGTTTTCATTTTTTACACTGAAATCTTTTTATCTATGTAAAGTTTGCCTTATTGTATGGTTTGAGGAATAGATATAATGTTTTCTTTCCCCCATGTGGCTTTTTAGTTATTCTTATGCCAATTATTAAGAGGCTTATATTTTCTTTACTGACTTCATCTGCAGCCTGAATCGAAAGCTGTAGGTGCCCTGTCTGTACCCCTTTACCCTTATCACTTCAGTGCATGTCTACAGGACTTCCAATTACCATCAACTTCCTTTCTTTACCTGAGGTGTTTTCTCTTGCTACCAGAACCTGCTCTGCCCATACATTGTGGGCTAGAAGTACTTGGAAACACACCAGTAAAGCAGCCTACAACTAATGACTAATAAAAGTTGATTACAAAATAAGCCTTAGGAGGGATAACACTGAGGAATGTGTTATGCCCAGAATAACTAGCAGAAGTAAGCTCTAAATACACACAGAGATAACTTCCTTGATGATAAACCCTTTATTGGCTACCCTTTTTTGTTTGTTTCAATTCCCCACTCTCTTATTGGTATTTCCTAGGATCACTACACAAATAAACTGTACTCTAAATCCCCATTTCAGGAGCTCCTTCTGGGGAAATCCAAACTAAGACACTTACTTTATCATATACTATATTTGCATATTGTAATCGAATTTTCTACTAGTTTCCATTAGTCTGTATGTTTATTCATGCTCCAACAGCATATTGTTTTAGTTATAGAAGCTTTATAATGAGTGTTAAAATCAGGCACTAACAGCTTCTCCTTGCTCTTTTGTCTCAGGGTTTCCCTAGCTATGCTTCAATTGTTTGTTTGTTTTTTTCTGTGAACTTTGTAATTACCTTTTCTAGCTTCAGGAAAAAAAATTGTATTGAGAATGCATTAAATTAATGATTTTCAAGTAATTGAATTATTATGATTTTCTTTCTTCCTATCTGTATTAGTCAGCTTGGGCTGCTATAACAAAATACCATGAACTGAGTGGCTTAAACAACAGATGTGTATTTCTCACAGTTCTGGAGACTGGGAAGTCTGAAATCAAAGTGACAGCTGATTCAGTTACTAGTGAGGGCCATCTTTCTGATCTGCAGGAACTGCCTTCTCTCTGTGTTCTCATTTGGTGTAGGGAGTTTCCTCTTCTTATTAAAGCTGCCGCTCATTCCATCTGAGGGCTCTACCATTATGATCCCATGTTATTCTAATTACTTCCCAAAGACCCCATCTCTAAACACCATTACATTTGGGATTTGGGCTTTGACTGTGAGTTTTGGGGGAACACAATTTAGTCCATAGCATTCTGCCTCCAGTCTTCCAAAATTTATATTTATGTCTTTCTCACATGCAAAATGCATTCATTCCATCCTAACAATCCCAGAAGTCTTAACTCATTCCTGTATCAGCTCTAAAGTCCAAAGTCTCATCTAAATATCACCTAAATCAGTTATGGATAAAATTTAAGGTACAAGTGAATCTGAGGCATAATTTCCCTCCAGCTGTGAGCCTGCAAGACTAAATAATTTATGTGCTTTCAAAATAAGTGGTGAGACAGGCATGGGATAGGCATTCCCATTTCAAACGGAGATATGGGAAGAAAGAAAGGCATGATGGGTTCCAAGCAAGCCCAAAATTTAACAATGTAAATTCTATTAGATCTTAAGGCTTGAGAATAATCCTCCTTGGTTCAATGTTTTGCCTTCCAGATCCACCGGGGCTGTAGTCCTGCTTACTAGGCTCTGCTCAGTAGAGGTCATGCTCCCAAGGTTCTGGGTTACCACAACCCCAAGGCTCCACAAGGTGGTCCTGACCCTAGATTTATCTCAGTTGTCAAACTTACTTGAAAAAAATTATGCAAAGTAGTCACATGATTTAAAAAGAGTTCCTTTATTTTAGTTTATTTCCCCTTTGTAATTTCTAATTTTGTATATTTGAGCTTTCTCTTTCATATTTGATTTGATTAACTGTGTCATGTGCTAGCATATTTTGTGACTTTTTAAAAAGAATTACATTTAGGATTTATTTATTATTTCTACCATTTTTATTCTAACTCATTGATTTCTGCTTTACATTAGTTAAGTTTTTCCATTTCCTCTTAGTTTACTTTGTTTTTGTTTTCTTGCTTTCCTTTTAACTTTTATTTCAGATTTAGTGGTACATGTACATGTTTGTTATACAGGTAAATTGTATGTTCCAGGGGTTTGATGTACAAATTATTGCATCACCCAGGTAATCAGCAGAGTACCTGATAAGTAGTTTTTCAATCATCTCTCCTCTCACTCTCCACCCTCAAGTAGGCCCGTGTCTGTTGTTGCCTTCTTTATGTAAATATGTACTGAATGTTAAGCTCCCCCTAGTAAGTGAGAACATGAAGTATTTTGTTTTCTGTTTCTGCATTAGTTCACTTAGGATAATGGACTCCAGCTCCATCCGTGTTGCTGTAACAGAAATGATCTCATCTTTTTTATGGCTGCATAGTATTCCATAATGTATGTGTACCACATTTTCTTCATCCAGTCTACCACTGATGGACATTTAGGCTGATTCCATGTCTTTGCTGTTGTGAATAGTGCTGCAATGAACATAAGCGTACATGTGTCTTTATGGTAGGACAATTTATATTCCTTTGGGTATATAACCAATAACGGAATTGTGGAGTTTAATAATAATTATGTTTTAAGTTCTTTGAGGAATTGCCAAACTGCTTTCCACAGTAGCTGAACTAATTTACATTCCCACCAGAAGTGTATAAGCTTTTTGAATCTGAGTGCTCTTGTGTTTGGTGTGCATATATTTAGGATAGTTAGGTCTTCTTGTTTTGTAATGTCTTTGTTTGTATTCTTTGATCTTTGCTGATTTAAAGTCTGTTTTGTCTCAAATTAGAATAGCAACCCCTGCTTTTTTCTGTTTTCCATTTTCTTGTTGGATTTTTCTTCATCCCTTTACTTTGAGCCTATGGGTGTCATTGCATGTATGATCGGTCTCTTGAAGACACTATACTGTTGGTTCTTGCTTCTTTATCCAACTTGCTACTCTGTGCCTTTCATTTGGGACTTTCAGATCATTTACATTCAAAGTTAGCATAGATATATGTGAATTTGATCCTGTCAGCCTATTTTTAGCTGGTTATTATGCATACTTGTTTGTGTGATTGCCTTATAGTTTCAATGA